>NC_000008.11:5501131-5803416 GCF_000001405.40 Homo sapiens
ACTTGAAAGCAAGTCTGATTTCATTTCCAACATAGTGTTAATTGGCAATTGCTGGTCCACATTGAGAATGCATACAAAATTACTTAGATTAATGAGCTCCAATAAATGTTGACTTTTCTCATTCATCTGCAATAGTCTTTGCTCAACCAGTTTATGAATAAGGATGGCAAATGGATGCATTACAAAATTATGACCATTCCAATGTATGCATTATGGGCCCTCATTCTATTTGACTCCTCCTTCCTTAGTTACGCCAGTATCATGGAACTCCACACAAGGTACATGCATTCACTTTAGCATTGTAAAATTTGGGATGGCAGTAGCAAAATTTTTGGTTCTGAAAGGATAATCAGTACACATTTAATATCTCATATGTGAATATCCAATAATATCAGATGGCCTCCAAATAATTACTGATAAACAAATATATATTACTTTAAGCAATTTTAATATATCCCTAATACTTATCTCAATGGTATATAACTTGAAGATCTTAAATAAAGTCATAGAAAAAATCATATTTAAAAAATATTTACATGCTGTATTAAATATAATTTATGTTAAGTGTAAGTGTAAGATTAAATATAATGGAATAAGTTACACATATTAAAAGTGTGCTTTGGGATATGTTTTGATGGGTTATATACACTTATCAAACTACCTTCCAGGTAAAGAAAATAGGCACACCCCTCATCTCAAAAGTGTCCTTAGGACCCTCTGTAATCCATTCCTCTAACAATGGATTAGTTGCATTTCCTAGAATTTTGCACAAATGAAATTGCATAGCATGGATTATTTCTTGCCTGGCTTATTTTGTTGAACATAATTATTTTGTTATATACTCATGCTATTGCAGGTATCAATATCTCATTTGATTTTATAACTGAGTAGAATCATATTGCATGCATATACACAATTTATTTATATCTTTACTTGTTGAGGGACATTCGGACTGTGTCCAGTCTTGGTTCAGTAGAAATAAAGCTTCTATGAACACTTGTATATTAATATAGATATCTTTGTATGCAAATATATTTTTTTCTCTTAGTTAAATAACTAGGAATGGACTGGTTGAATCACATGGTATGGTAGGTACATTTACATTTTAGAAAATTCTGTCAACTTCTTTTCCAAAGTGTCTGTATCATTTTATATTTCTACCACAATGCGTTAATCTCCCAGCTCTTCCACGTCCTTGCCAGTGGTTATATATTTGTTTTTAAACTTTAGCTATTCTAACAGGTATGTAGTAGTTACTCATTGAGCTTTTAATTTGAATTTGTCTACTGACATGATTTTGAGCATCTTTTCTTGTGCTTTTAAATTTTATTTTTAAATGACAAATAATAATTATGAATATTTATTGGGTACAATGTGGGTTTTGTTTTGTTCTGTTTTGTTTTTGAGACAGGACCTCAGTGTCACAGAGGCTGGCATGCAATTGTGAGATCACAGCTGACTACAGCCTCAATATCTTGGGCTCGAGCGATCCTCCCACCTCAGCCTCCTGAGTAGCTGGAACTACAGGTGCATACCATTATGTCCATCTGAATATTTTACTTCTTGTAGAAATGGGATCTTGCCATGTTGCCCAAAGTAGTTTTGAACTCCTGAGCTAAAGTGATCCTTCTGCCTTGGCCTCTCAAAGTGCTAGGATTACAAGTGTGAGTCACTGTGCCCTGCCCAGTGCGATATTATGATCTATGTATACATTATAGAAAGATTCAGTTAAGCTAATTAAAATATCAGTCACCTCACCAAAGAGATGAGACTAGTCAAATACAGCCTTTTAGGAATTTTGAAACATACAATACATTACTATTAATTGTAGTCATCATGTAACATAATAGATTACTACAATTTATTCTTACAATCGAAATGAAATTTTTGCCCTGTGATCAATAAGTTCCCCTTCCTCATTTTGCTCCATCTGGTAAAATCCACCCTTTTACCTTCTGTTTCTGTGAGATTCGCTTTTTTAGATCCCACATACAAGTGGAATCATACAGTATTTGTCTCTCTGTGTCTGTCTTATTTCACTTAGTAGACTGTCTTCCATTTCCATTCATGTTGTCACAAATGGCAGAATTTTCTTTTAAGGCTGTATAGTCTTCCACTGTGCATATATACCACATTTTCTTTATCCATTTATTCACTTAAGGACGTTTAGGTTGCTTTCATATCTTTACTATTGGGAATAAAGTTAAAGTGAACATAGGTTTGCAGATGGCTATTTGAAATAGTAATTTTATTTCTTCTGGATTTATACCCAGAAGTGGAATTACTGAATCATACAGGAATTACTGGATCATATTTTTAATTTTTTGAAGAAACTCCATACTGTTTTCCATCATTTCTGCACAAGTTAACAGTCGCACCAATAGTGTACAAGGATTGCATTTATTCCACATCCTTGCCAACACCTTATCATTCATCTTTCCGATAATAACCATTCTAAAAAGTGTGAGGTGATATCTCATTGTGGTTTTAATTTGCATTTGCTTAAATATGTTGAGAGTTTTTCATATATCTGGGAGATATATATATATATCTTTAAGAAATGTCTGCTTCCCTTCCTTGTCATTTTCTAGTCATGTTGTTTGTTGTCTTGCTATTGAGTTATTTAAGTACAGTATATATTTTAAATATTAGCCCCTTATCTGGTGTATGGCCTGAAAATATTTTATCCCAATCTGTTGGTGGTCTCTCCATTCTGCAAATTGTTTCTTTTGCTGTGCAGAAGCTTCTTAGTTTGACAAAACCCCCTTTGTCTATGGTTGCTTTTGTTGCCTGTGACCGTGGAGTCCTATCCAAGAAATCATTGCCCAGATCAACATCATGAAAGTTTTTTCCCTATTTCCTTCTAGAAGTTTTACAGTTTCAAGTCTCATGCTTAGGTCTTTTATCCATTTGAGTTGATTTTTGTATATGGTGTGAGGCAACGATCTACTTTTATTCTTCTGCACGTGAATATCTACTTTTCCCAGCACAATTTACTGAAGAGATTGTCCCTTCCCCAGTATGTGTTTTCTGGAAACGTTATTGAAACTGAATTGACTGTAAATACTTGGATTTATTTCTGGACTCTCTGTCTTTTTCCATTGGTTGACATGTCTGTATGGCAAGTTTCAAGGAATGTATTCTTTTCATCTAAGAGGATGAGCTTGTTGGCATAAAGTTATCATAATAGTTTCTTTTCTTTTCTTTCTTTTTTTTTTTTTTTTTTTTTTGAGACAGAGTTTCAATGTGTCACCCAGAGTGGAGCGCAGTGGCATGATCTCGGCTCACTGCAAGCTCTGCCTCCCGAGTTCACACCATTATCCTGCCTCAACCTCCCGAGTAGCTGGGACTACAGGCGCCCGCCACCACACCGAGCTACTTTTGTGTATTTTTAGTAGAGATGGGGTTTCACCATGTTAGCCAGCATGGTCTCGATCTCCTGACCTTGTGATCCACCCGCCTCGGCCTCCCAAAGTGCTGGGATTGCAGGCGTCAGCCACCGCACCTGGCTGAATAGTTTCTTGATATCCTTTTGATTTTTGTATGAGCTGTGATGAGAATCTTACTTTTTTCCTGCTATTTCATTTTTTTTTTGCTCAGTTTAACTAGTTGTATACCAATTTTGTTAATTATTTCCCATAACCAGATTAACTGTTTATTTTCTGTGTTTCTCTGTTTTCTATGCCATTGGTATCTGCTCTTTACATGCATTTTTTCTCCTTACTTTGTGTTTACTTAACTTTTACATTTTCCTTGAAGTAGAATCAGGATATTGACTTAAGACTTTTCTTTGAGATAAAATATTTTGAAATTATGAATTTTCCTCTGAGTACTCCTTGTTTCACATGAATATTAATATAAATGTTAATAATTTATTATAATTTAATTAAATTTTGGTGGGTAATCTCTTTTTTGACCCTTGGATTATTTAGGAGAGTATTGCTTAATAATCAATGATTGGGGATTTTCCCAAATATCTTATTGTTAGTATTTCTATTTTAATTCTGTTGCTACCTGTGAACATACTGGGTATAATTTTACTTGGTAAACTTTACTAAAACTGATTGTATGGCCCATTTGTGAGTGTACTATACACACCTCAAAATGTTTATTCTGCACTTCTTAGGTTTAGTATTTTATACATAGCAGTCAGGTCAATGTGGTTAATAGTGATTTTCATATATTCTATGTCTTTACTGAATTACCTAATTTTTCTATAAATTGCTTAGAGGAGATTAAAATCTCTATCATCGTGGAATCCTGTATCACTTCCTTTCTGTCAGTTTGTCCCTTATATAATTTGAGGATTTCTTATGTACACACAAATTTATGGTTGTGATATCATCCTAACTGACTTCATTATCATTATGAATGCTGACCCATTTGTATTTGGTAATGCTACTTTTGTTATAGTCCACTCTATCCAATACTAATAAATCCATTCTAGCTTCCTTATGCTTACTGTTTCCGTAATATGTATTTTTAAAAAATGTATTTACATCCAATCCTTATGGCTTTTTAAATTTAAAATGAAACTTTTTACAGGTATCATATAATTGGTTATGGCTTTTTATATCCAGTGCGACCGTCTTAGTCTTTTAATTGAAACACTGTGTGTATAATGCAAAATTAATATTCAATGATGTGGTTTATATAGATTGATTTCGTAGCGTCTTTGCATGGTTTCTTTTCTATTTGTTTTATCTATTTTCTGTATAGTGTGCCATTAAATATAATTTTTCATCATTCATTATGCAGCTGCATTTATAAATGTTAAAGCCTCACAACAATATTATAATTTTTGCTTCAATAGGTATATGTATTTCAATATTTAAGGGTATAAATAACATTTTATATGTTTATAGCACATAAAAACTATACATTAATAAATAACATATACAATGTTATTCATTGGTATTAATAATATATGTATACATGTGTTAATAATTAATATATTTAGCATAATATACTTCTGATTTTATATTTCATATCTTCCTCCATTATAATTTTCGATGACCTTCCATTCATTCCTGTTTATTTGATTTTCCATTACCATCCTTCTTCAACTTAGAAAACTTCTTTTAGCATTTCCTATGGGGAAGATCTGGTGGGATAAATTCCCCTAGGCAGTCTGTAGGTGAAAATGTGTCCCCTTCATTTTAAAAAAGATAGTTTTGCAGGACATGGAATCTGGGTTGTTATTGTTCTTCAGCACTTTAAGAACAATGCTTTTGTTGTCTTCTGGTCTTCAGTATTTCTGGGAGAAGCCCTAGTAATGTGATCAATTTCAGAGGATGTTTTTCTTCTGGCTGCTTTCACGGTTGTATCTTTCATCTTCAGCAGTTGGTCTTTTGTGTGCCTTGTAACTGATCGGTTTGTATTTATCTTGTTTGGGGTTTGCTGAGATGATTGTACCTATACATATATGCCACTGAATTTGGAAGTTTGAAGCCATAATTTTTCAATTTCTTTTCTTTTCTCTTTTTTTTTTCTTTTCTATTCTCTCTCTCTGCTTCTCTAATTTTTCTTAAATGGAAATTTTTATTCTCCTCACAAGTTTCTGAGGTTCTTTTATATATATATATACATATATATGTGTATATATGTATATATATGTATATATTTTCTTTTTCTTCTTTAGAGTGTGTAATTATATTTATCCTTCTTCAAATCTGCTGACTTTTTCATTGCCATTTCCACTCATTCTTAGACTCAGTAATGCTTTTAAAAACATTCAGATAGCATGTATTTTCAGTTTAAAACGTACATTTGTGTGTGTATAGACACACGTTCATATTCCATCTCTTTGTTGAGCTTTTCTGCCTTTGCATTCATTATGAGTTATTTCCTTTTGCCCCAGTGAACATTACTATAATAGCTATTTTTAAATCTTTCCCTGATAATTCCAATATCCAGAACATTACAGAGTTGCTTATATTTTCCTCCAGAGAATATATTGAAAATATTTTCCTGGATTCTTGTGTCTTGAGTAGTTGTAGATTGCATTCTGGACATTGCGATTTCTATGTCGTAGAGAGATTGATTCTGATCTTCTTTGTAAGAAGAATTTGTAAGAACAGTCAGAGTAAGAGACAATAAAGTTGTCTATACTCAAATTGCAAACTGTATGCATGCTGTAGGTAGCTACTCAGACGTCAGTACACACAGCACACAGAGGTTCAGGGAGACGCTGGAGAATTAAGCAGATTTTATACACGGAACGCTTCGATTTCCACTTGGCATCTCTCTCCTTTCTGCAGCCACAGAGGCCCCATGCTCCTCCTACTGGTTCTTTTAACAAGAAATAGAACAGAATTTTCAACACCATCTTTGCCATCTCTGCCACCTGTGTGACTGTGCCTGTGGTCAGGGAAAAGCTACAAAAATGAGAAACTCAACTGTTTCTCAGTTGCTGATTGCCTCCTTTAAGTTCCAATTTCCCTAAAATGTCTAAATATCTGCCAACTTTTGTACAGTCTGCACAGCACTAAAAGTGGATTTTTTTGAGGGGCGGGGGGTCAGGGGTGGCTGTATTTTGCCCAGAGTCTACAACTGCTATCTGGAAACAAGTCATTTTCTTATGAACTTCCTCATGCATATCAGAAGCAAAATTTTCTCCCACCTGGTTTTAAGAAGAATTTCTGCAGAAACAGGTTTGCTGCTGTAAGGTACCTGATAGCATATCATTCTGTATTACATTAAATTCTACCTTCATCCTTTTTGTGAGGGGCAGGTAACATGAGTGTGGGTTCATAGGTAGGAATTATTAGGAGTTTTAATTTTTCTCCTTTATCCAGAGGTAAATTTGAGATATGCGCAATCCGTAATGTCTATCATGTGAAGAAGGGAAAACAAACACACCTCATTCCTCTATTTTTCTACTTCTACTGAGAATATCCCCCTTCAGTGTCTTTGCGTCTTCATTTCCATCCTGCTCATACCTCACATTTCTCCCCTGTTCCCAGGTAATGCAGATCATTAAAACCCAGACCTTCGGTGACCAGAAGGCATCAGAGATGCACAGGGAAATCCTGGGTCCAGTGCTTTCTTATCTCTTTAAATTCATGCATTTTCATTTTTGCCTTCCAAGGAGATCTCTTATTTTGCCTCCAGGTCAGACAGGTGTACAGAGAGATTTTGAAAAATAGATTTTAGCTGGAGAGTCTAGGTTGTAGCAGGACATGTTTCCTGGAGCATTAGTGATCCATTTTGCCGAAAGTGGTAGTCTCCTTTATCAGACCTCTTCCCCATTCTAGCACCGTGTGTTTGTCATCGAGACGCATGTCAGAAGTGCATTATTGTTGGAGTTCTATTAGGAAGACTGGCACAGGGATTTCAGGAGTGACTTGAGAATAACCATCAGAATGTAAGGCACTGATGATATTTAGGGTCTTATTAAAATGCCTTGTATATTTACCAATTGTCAGACACTTTTCAAAGCAACTTTTTGTAATTTTTTATCACTACGCTGTCAGTACCTTACCCCCATTTGATGGAAGAGAGAGTGGAGGCACAGACGAGTGAAGTAAGCCATCCGATATCACAGGGGCTTGACTAGCTGTTCTGCCTATGTGGGTCGCAGAGGGTTCTTTGTTGGGTTTCTGTGCACGCTGTTTTCCCAAGTGATCCTGGGAAAGGAGTGACTTGCCTGCTCCAGTGGAAACTCACCTCCTGTATACATGTTGCTGGGAGCATAGGGGTGGGGTGCATGTTGGCACATGCAGTTTTCTGTTTTCTAAAAGACTGGAAGATTGACCAAGGAAGCAAATCTAGTCAAGGTTTCACAGGCTGTCGCGAATTGTATTTTCCAAAGATCGTCACAAAAACTTCCCCATTCCATTTGCTTTTTGACAATATGTTCTTGCCACTTCTCCATCAAAGGTGACATTTAATTGCCCTTCTGAAAAATCTGTAAATTTGAGTGCCATGTGATGGAACAAGCCTTTGGATGGCGCTGGTCCTAGCGGATGCAGGGACCAGCCGTTGGGTTTTCCCTCAGCCGTTGGGTTTTCCCAGCTGAGGTTGCTGACGTTGTAGAACAGAGGCAAACCACTGTTGCTGAGCCCTCTCTGAATTTCCAAAGCACAGAATCCATGTGCATAATAAAATGGTTGCTTATACTATTAAAGTTGGGATTTTTATTACGCAGCAGTAGTGATTGGACATATCCCCAAAGAATTAATGAAGCACTTGTGTGAGGTAAATTCCCAGAGCCTAGACACTACCCCCATGCTTGTTTATGTGTTACATAGTGGTCGAGGCTAAACTTTACAACCAAGCCTGTGTTAACTTGGTTGTCATAGTGCTTTTCACAAATGTCATATGTTTGAAGAGTAGGAGAAATTGCTTTTATAAAATTCCATGAGACTAACATCCTCAAATAAATCACATGGCAAAGGTACAGATTTTGGTCTTTTAAAATATTATATCTGTTAGGCTGCCAGATCAAAACCTATAAATAGCAACTCTCAAACAGCAAAGTATATGAATTTGAGTACATAGATTTTTATAACATCAATTTTAATTATTCAGAAGTTTTCTTTTCTTTTCTTTTGTATTTGCTGTGATCAAGGTAGAGATGGATAATGGACATTTAAATAACTGAAGGAATATCACTGTATATTACATATTTTTATATTAATATTTTATTTAAATGATATTTAAACATCCTGCTGTAGCAAATACATCAGTGACATGGAGCTTTTCCAAATTCTAGACGGCTGTAAGTAGTTTAAGATTCCGAGGAATGATGCTGAGCTGTTAGATTCAAGAAATACATTCAGATTTCAATATAAAACAGGGAATAGTCTAAATTACTGTCCTATTTTCTAATTATTCTGCAACATTCCTTTTTGTTGGTTTTCATAGAGATTAGAGGCTCACAAAACATGATTATAGCTTTGTCATATCCAAGACACAATTCAAGATTATTTTCAAGCTTATAGAAAAATTTGATCAAACCTAGAAACTGTCCATGAAATCTGAAACCCAGATTTAAAAAATTTTCAGGTAATACACAAATGTAATCATTTATTTTCAGAGATATGCCCGTTCACAAATAGGCAAAAGAAGTCTACTGGAGTAGAAGAAAATCTGACCACCTGAGTGGTGAGTATGTGACTGCCACAGTACCACCATTTCAAGAGCTGATCACACTTGTGTTCAGGTTACTAGGTCTGTCTCTTTCACGTGCTTTCCATGCTCTGCAAAAAAATTAGAGTAATATTTTATGCTTGAATCTAGAATGTTCCAGAGATTTAGAAAGCCATCTAAGTCTCAGATGGAAGTTTTTCAGTCAACCACAAAACATAATTACTTTAAGACAACAAAATGTAGCAGGAAGAAGAAAGTATGGCTTTGTCAAACCTAGGACCAAGCCGATCTGGTTTAGTCTTCATTGATCACCCCCAAATTTTTCTAAAATCTAAAAGAGAAAGTTACTCCAAATCAGTCTCCGCAAATAAAAATCTACTCAAATTCACTTCTATGCATATAATAAAAGGGGAGATATCAAATATAAAAATCATAAAGCTTAATTAAATTTTTGAAACTTTCCCCAAGAATTTAGACAAAGAATGCAGCCAGCCTGCCTTAGTGATTATACAATGGTTACCAAGGGGGAAGCCTTATAAGAAACCTAGTTAAACTCTAGCCACACTCCTCTGCCTGTTTAAAAGTGGGACATAATGCAAGGAAAAGTAATTAAGAAGCCCAGAATGCTCTTGACCATTTAAAGCATAATATCAAAACCAAATATTCTAGGGAATGTTAGGCAAGGAGGACTTGTTTGCATTAATTAGAAGGTAGTGTCTGGTGCTAATACAAATGAAAGCCATCAATATCTAGCTAGTGGACTTGAACCAGAAGGGACTTCCTATCTCAAGGCACATTTACCTTAATTGCAACTCTCAAAGCCTTTTTCCACTGAAATTATATGGGCTTCTATCAGAAATGAGGTCAGCATATTCATGAGGTACATTAAAATTGTTTCTTTTTACAGACTTTCAGCCATTTCAATATAGGAAAAGTCTTTCAGCATTCTATGTGTTTTCTTTCTCTTAGCTTGAGCTTTGATCAAATTTTCTAATACCTGTAGTGGATCCCAATGAATAAATTACAACACCATGTAATTTATACTAATGAAACTGATAAAGTAATGGTCCATTCATTGAACAGAACCAGTTAATTCAAATCCAGAAACCTATAGTGTGGTGTGCCATGGAAGAAGTTATATTATCAGCCAGCATGATTAGAAGCTTAATGAGACCTAGAGAGGTGTGATCAGGTTTAAATAGCAAATTGACTTTTAAAGTTTTTTTTAATCTTTATTTAAATGTGATTGCCAAAATTATCACTGGATCAGAACTAGAATCACAGACAGAAGTGGAAGGTCTGACTCTTGTCTATTGCCATTCCCTCCCAATGTGTTTGAGGTAATTGAGACATGATAAGAATAAATTTTTCCCGGTCACTGTCAGGTCACAACATGGGTCAAGTTTACTAAGTCCTTGTCTGGTGGCCTAAACAAACTGCTCCGTGGAAACCACGTGAAATTGGTATGGGGGTTGGTATCATGTGCCCTTTAAAGTGAAACTAAAACTTAGTTGAGTCCTCCATCTTTTAGTGTCCATTAAGTCCAAAGCAGCCCCAGTGTTCTCTGATTCTCCACAGATTTACATTCTCATGGAGACATCATGTACTGATTCTCAGACGCCAAACTTTCAGCCCGACTGAGGTCCTTCCTCTGGCGTATGTTCTTATCTCTCTGCCTCACACTGTCTTCGGTGTGGAAACACTTCCTTTACCTTTCTCAGTTCGTATCACTCTACCTGCAGTGATTTCACCATATTAGACCTTTCCAGAGGAGTCATGATGATGGAGGAGAGGCAGTAGCCCATCACATCGCATGGCAAAGAACAATAAAATATTAGGCACTAGATAACCCCATTCTGAAAAACACTACCTTTCCATACCTGCTAGAGAAGCTCTCCAGGACAACACCCCCAAAGTGGATGGTCTCACGGCTTCCCTGAGGCTTTGGACCTAGCTCCAGCCCAGCTTTTACTAAATTCATGTGGGCAAATGTGACCCCATTGCCTGAGGCCAATAGCAGGGTTCCCCAGCTTCTCCTCCCACTTCCTGCCACAAGACAAGAGATCTGGCTTCCTCAGCAGACACTCAATGACTCAGGTGATACAGTGTGAGTGTGAAAGTGTGTGGGGGTAGTTCAATTTCCATGTGGTACAGTTTGATCAACGGGATAAAGGGGAAACGAGAGGCCAGCAGATAAATTCCTGCTTTTTCCTCTTTCTCCTGGATTATCCTGAGGCCTGGTGTTTTCATTAAATTCATCTGAAAATACCCCACAAGCCTAAGTGACTAACAGTGTTTCTTCAAAAGCACTGGGCAGCTTGGTCATGCACCAAGAGACATTCTCCCTCACTCACTCCCTGAGATTGTACCCGCGAATAAAGTATGAGCTTTTACGCTTTGCCTCAGGCTCCCTTTCCTGGGGAAATTTGCCTAAGTCTTTCTAGATGGCAGTCCCTTAAACAAGGGACTTTGCTGTTGGATTTCCCTCCTGAAAGCAGTGCTGGTAGTAAGTGGTGTGGGGGAACTCTGTGTGTGCTGTGGCAATGTGGCTCAGCTTTCACCTGTGTTTAACTGGGGTGACAGGAGGTGGAAGGATAAGTATCTGCAGCACTTAACGAGGTTTGCAAGCAGCAATAATTATATGATTTGTGAAGTGGAGTTGCTTATTTAAATGACATTAAAGCCGTTGTAAAATAAAAGTTAACAAGATCATGCCATTTAATGATGAACTTAAGGTACGTCCTGAAGGCCAGAAAACTCTTATCTCACCTTTGAAGAAGTCCATGACAACGTAAAGCCACAGGACACACTGCACTGAAAATCAGACCTGGGATCTCACTACAAGACTAAAGGATCTGAAAGGAAACTAATCACACAGATGTGAAAGGTCCTTAGGTCAAAGTCAAGTCTTTCAGAAACATCCCTGCACTATGAGATAGTGTCATTTGAGGGACAAGCCTGAGAATTTTGAACCCCGGACTGTTTTTGCTGATTGAAGTAGATCCTTTAAGTTGTCAGAAGGAAACAGCCTCATCTTTCCTGTAGAATGTGTGATTACATCACTTAAGGAAGTGACATCACATGATGTTTTTCTTCCTCAAGACTTTGTCCCACCACCACCACTGATTTCAGACAAGGACATACAATCACTTCCCTTCCCCAGAAAGACACAGGCTAAATGTCAAAGGTTCTGTGGGACCAGGCTGATATGTACAGACAGGCACTGTGGGAACACAGGTGGGATTGGGACTTGAGAGCATTCATCTAGAGGAGGAGGGTATAGGATTGAATCCGGGAGAGGAGAGAGGAGCATGTACTTTTGACTCTAGATTGAATATTTAGTCAGAGACACCTGGGCAGTTCTTAAGCATTCACTGGCAGGACTCCCTATAGCCTGGACTTCCTTATGACCTACAGAAAGAGGCAAGTGTCAGAAATTCCCTGGTATTCTACTAAAGATGATGTCAGGAGGATCAGGGAGATTGGAATGTGAGAGAAGGTTTATTATGTACAACTGAGAACCCATTGCTGACAGTGTTCCCCAGAGGACCCTGGAGGGCATTCCTCTCACTAAGATTATAAATCATGCACGGGTGAAGGGATGAAGAGCACTCTACGAGAAAGCCTGGTCATGGATGTCCTCTGTAGCTCAGGTTTGGTGGTGAATGGGGATCAGAGAAGCCAAGTCAAAATGGTGATTTTCCATTTTACAGTGGATGCAGTGATTCAGTGATGAGAGATGCCACCATTTAACTGGGTTCCCTAACAGCAATGGCAATGGCAGGGTTATTAAATGAGAGACCAGGAGCAGCATTTATCCATCAAAAGCAAGGTCCTACCATGGCAGGCTACAGGCTGGAATGACAGTCACCAGGCCTCCGTCCACAGGGATCTGGGACAATGGCTGAAAGATCATGGTGCTTTTAGTCACTAGATAGATGGACGGCTGACTAAAGTATTGTTCTACTTGTATATTCAGAAAAAAATTAAGAGCTGTCAAGCAGGAATTGAAGTCTGCTGCTGCAGTAGAAAAGTGTCATCTCTAATCCAGTTTACCTATGTCAACCTGGTCATTGAGCCCTGTGAAGGAGAGTCCAGGTCCCCTTGAGGAAAACTCCTGTAATGTTTCCTCGAGACTCTTCCTCCTATCCCTCCAGAAAGGCAATTACAGCCACCTTCTAGGGAGTCTCTACACTAAGGATGTGAGATAATGAGATTTGGAGGATTATTAGACACATATCTGAGCTGCCACTGAAGTCAGGATATCTGAACGCCATAATCATCCTACAGATACAATGGTGGCATATAGAAGCAAGGTGAAAAATGAAGATTTTTCTCTATCAGTGGATCCAGTGATTATGTGCACCTGCCTGGGGTGATTTCTCTGCCAAAAATGCAAATTTGGAAGAGATATAATTAGAAACTGAAATAATTTTACCTTGGTTCCCTGACCAATGGAGGAAAAGACATTAAGGTAGAAGATGTAAAAGTGCAAGTCCTTCAACTCCCAAGAAGAAAAAGTCAGAAGCACTACCATATTCCCCAAGGAACCGAAGAAACAAGAGCCCCCACAGTAAATCTGAAGAACTGAGCAGCGTTGGTTCCTATCCATCTTCATTCAATGGATTTTCCTTCAATTTTGCCTTTGCAAAAATAACATGTATCCTGGAAGATGATGGTAGACTACCCTAAACTGAGAACACTCTGACACAAATCTCAGCGGGTGTCCTGACAGCCAGATGGGATATTTTCACTGGAGCAGATAAACAGCCTCCAGGCTTGGTGTGCAGTGATTAAACTGGAGAATGTTTCCTTCTTGATACGACTCAATAGGGATAATAAAAAGCCATTTGTCTTTACTTGGCAAGCAGAGTAGTACAGTTCAGTAATCAATTCCACAGAAAACCTGGCCACCTTGACATTCTGTAGAACATCTTGCTGGTCCATGGTGTTGGCGACATCATCCTAACTGGATCCTGTGAACAGCAAATGGTAAATTCTGTCTCAGACAGCTTGGGATGTCAGAGTCAAATACTATAGGCTAGGGGGCTTAAATAAGATAAATTTATTTCCTCATCATTCTGGAGAATAGAAGCTCAGGATGAAGGTGCCAGCAGATTTGGTTCCTGATGGGGGCTCTATCTTAGTTCATTTGGGCTGCTGTAACAAAAATACCATAGACTGGGTGGCTTAAAAAACAGCAGAAATTTGCTTTTCACAGTTTTCTGGGCTTGAGAATTCCAAGGTTAAGGTGCTGCCATATTTAGTGTTTGCTGAAGGCCTGCTTCTTGGCTGACAGACAGCTGTCTTTTTGCTCTGTCCTCATACAGAAGAAAGGACCAGGCAGTTCTCTCGGGTCTCTTTAATGAGGGGGTAAAATTCATTCATGAGTGATCCACCATCATGACCTAATTACATCACGAAGGCCCCATTGTCTAACACCATCAAAATGGGGATTTGGTTTCAGCCTATGAATTTGTGGGGGTACATGAACATTCAGCCTATAGCGTGTTTTTTCCTGGTTTGTAGACAGATGCCTTCTCACTTTGTCCTCACATGGCAGAAAGAGAGAGAGACAGAGAAAGAGAGAACAGTTTGCTGTCTCTTCTTATAAGGGGACTTGCAAGAAGTTTAGGGATAATTTTGAAAGGCAGTGGAAAAGGGAAATATTTCCAGTGGGAAGAGCAAAAGGTCTGGGGAAGATATGTACATGGATTCTCGGGAGTGGGGATAAAGTGCTTGGATTTTTGATGTTAGTCAGCCATTATCCTCAGCCACCTCTGGGATGGTACATTCAGCTCATGAATAGAGTGCTCTTAATAACAGGGCTGGAGACAACGTGTGGGCCCACGAGCATGGGTGTCTCTCAACAAATTTAGTAATTACACAGCCCGTTGTTCTGGTAGCAGAATTCAATGCTTAGCCTGGGCAGCTCTTCATTTCTCAGAGACCTTCCAGCCTCTTCGTAGTGGGTCAGTTACAAAGCACCCTCCCCCTTGGCTGGAGCAGCAATTTTTGTTTCCCAGAATTGTTATGTATTTTAGATGTTGAATTGCCTTCACTGATAGCAATCTGCCTGGAATTACCTTCAACCGAAGGGTTGTAGAAAGCTTTCTCCATCGATGTCATATCTAATGAGTCATTGCCCCAGAACAACAGACTCATTTGAAGACAAAGCAGACATCACATCGGGGTTTCTGGCCATGGAATCCATCTGTCCTGCTATGTGTCTCACTACAGAGAAGCTGTTGAGCAGACAGAGTACTCAGCTAATGGTCATCTTCAGGGCAATGCCTTGGAGGGTTGAAGCCCTGTCCTCTGAGATAAGTCCTCAGTAAGGGCATGGAACCCATTGCTGAGTATGGTGCATGTCCCATTGGTTAGAATACAGAGCTCCAGGGCGAAGCCTCTTATTGAGGGCTCCCAGTGACCCGCTTCTGGAATTCGTGCTGCCTGTTGCTCTTCCCAGTTAAACTTAGGCTTCTGTATGTTAGCGGGCAAGGTTCTCAATGCAGAAATATTCCTCCAGAAGAAACAGTAGGCCATGACAAACAGCTGACCAGTTTGAGCTTCTACTCTATTGGAAATGCAGACAAAATAAATAAATAAATAACAAGGAGTTGCATTTCTGGCTGGAAATTTTGGCTTCTTTAGCCATTTCCTTGATGAAAAACCATAGTACAGGACGTTGATCTGCCTTCCCCTGGGGCTGCTGAGCTTCTTAGGTATTAGCACGTCCAGGAGATTTAACTTCGATTGAGACACATATTGATTGATAAAGGATTGGAGATGGGAGGGATTTGGCAGATGCAATTTCTTTCCATCTCTCCATTCAAGGGACTATTTGGCAGCATGCTCTTTCTCTAAGGCATGTCCTAGATGAATTGTGGGGCCGAACACCTGTCAGCATCTTTTTCTCTTTTATGAAACTGCAGATATTTTAATTATGCATCCCAGTATATCTGCTTCTCTTTGTTTCCTGCCTCACTACAATTCTCCCATGTTTTGCTGCCCTGGGATTGCACCTCCTAATAACATATTAGAATGTACGCTGTGCCTCAAACTCAAACTCTTTTTTCCAGGGATCCCATTGGCCAACTATCCTCCTAAAAATCTCCTGGCTCTCCGTATATGGTGCTGCCACTGTGCTTCCCGAGACCCTCTTTATGTTCTTCTCTTCTTCAACTGTAAAAAGTCTCATTTCTGTTTATTCCTTTTTTACCTAATAATTTAGCTTTCTCTCACTCTCACTGGAATCTTATTAAAACTATGCCCCCAAGATCTCACCTTGTTTGTCATACCTACCAATTAATAAGTGTTTGAAAAAAAAAAAAAAAACAGTATCTCACTGAGGTGAATTCTGTGGAAAGGTTTTTCTTTTTATCATGTTAACTAAATGTGTAAATATTTGAGGGGTATCCAAAGGTCCTTCTTTTAAAACAGTCCTTTATTCCTATCTGCTTTGGTGCATGAGTGTTTAGTGTCACACTGATTTCCTGTGGGTTCAGACTTTGACTCTATCCAACGTGTGGGTATGGAGAACACATTTGGTTTGTCTGAATAGGAACACGGCCCAAGTTCACTCTTCACAGGATTTCTTTCTCTATTCTCCAAGACTCCAGCTATTGCCATAGGGAAGTATAGAATTATTTAGACTAGATCTTGATAACAAGTAGTTATCTACTTTAACAAGTCCTTTAAAGCCTGAGAGTCCTTGGATTCAAGTCTGGACAAATTTTGGCCTAATTGTCATGACTGATGGTCCTCAAAGGTCAGCCAGTCCAAATTGTGAAAATTCTTTGTATCTTGAAGAGTCTTTGACGTTTCTAGCCCTGCTGCCATTCTCAAGCACTGATTTATCAATTTTAAACAAGTATGTCCTATACAGTGGTGCCTGTGCTGGACACTGGGGATGGTGGGTTAATGAAGCTGTCACAGTTCCCACCCTTGGGAAACTTAGTGTGATGGGAAAAGTGGACAAAGACATATTACAAGTAATTACATAATTGCTAGGACACAAAATGGTATCTGTGAAACGGCATATAATAGAGCCATATGGAATAGTCCTCTGAGCTAGGACAGAATAGGTAACGAGGCTGCTCAGAAACTGCAGCCTTCTCAGGATAAGAATATTCTCTATTTGTGCTTGTCCGTATTGATGATGTTAGAATAAAAGTTTACATCTTCGAGGAGGCAGAAGATTGGCTAGTGTTTGTACCATACATGTCAGAAATGGTTCAGCAATCATGAGTGACAATAACAAAATTTTGCATGTCCTTCCGTCTTAATATATATGTGTATATTATCTGTGTGTTATATTAATATATGTATATATATAATGCATTATGTATATAATAATATGTGTATACATAATACAATAATTATATCACACATATATATAATGTGTACCTATATACACACTATATAATATATAGTACTATACATTGTATATATATACACACATATTATATATAGATATAATTTGTGTGTGTGAATATATATATACACACTCCTATAACACACATATTATATATAGATATATACACACATATAATATATAGTATTATATAGATTGTATATATACACACATTATATATAGATAGACTATCTGTGTATGTCTATATATATACGCATTCCTTCTCCAGCTTCCACATCTTGTCCAGCTGCCCTCTCATTTCTCTGTGTGTCTCTATAGGAACTTCTCTTTTATGTCTTTACAGGACCCTACAAACTCCAATCCTTCTCTTCCTGCTATCCTTGGCACCAATGCCAGGTATCCACTCACCTCCACTTTCCACTTAATTATCTCTAGTGGTAAATTTAATGGTCTAGTCTCAAAACTCACTTTACTAGTCAGCCCATCAGCAACATTTGAAAAAGTCGAATGCTTCTTGTTTGAAACATTTCCTGCAATCGCACATACAAAAATCCTGCTACAGTAAATTAAAACACATAACTGTGCTCAAAATCTTTGAACAAGTTCTCATTTCACTCTGAGTACAAAGAAGAGGTCCTATGGTAGCCTGTGAGGCCCCTGATGAAATGGCTCTTCTTCCTCATGCACTTTATTGCCCAGGTATCTCCCCCTGGCTCATTTGGTTACAAACACACTAGGCTCTTTGCTGCTCCTTGAACACACTAAGCAGACTCCCATCTCTGGTCACTGTCTTGTCAGCCCAAATTGCCTCATTTCTCCCCAAATGCTTACAGGACTTCCTCTGTCCCATCCTCTAGGTCTCTATTCATTGCGACATTTTTTAGCAAGGCCGTCCTGGATGATGCAATCAAGAATAGCAACAGTTTCTCATTCCTGCGCTCCCCACCACTCTCCATGACGCCTTCTTTCCCGTATCTCTTCTAGCCACTGACACTACACATGGCACTTTGTGGTTTGGTTTTTGTCCTCCTTTGCTGAGAAGAATAGAAGCTCCTAAGGGCAGGGTACTTGGAATTCCTCCCTCTCTGCTGCTACCTCCTTAGTTTAGAACAGTATCCAACACATAGAAGGAGCTCAATTAACCTTTACTGAACAAATGCAAGGATCATTTCCACTGTGCTTTTGCTGGCTTTTCTGTACTGTGGTTTGAATTTGGCTGGGTTTTAAGGTTTGTATCCCCTAATAGTTGAGCATCATTTTTCCCCCTTTTCATTTTCGTGGCCTCCAGGGAGGTGTGGGACCTCTGCTGCACCTAGAAATCCCATGGTGACAGGGAAGGAGACTAATTATCTTCCTGGTGCATGAGAGATGATTGTTGAGCCATTCTAGTCAAAAGGGAGAACAAGAAGGCTGTACAAAACCCTGGAGCAAATTAATATGCCTCTCAGCACAGTTTGTTCCTTCAGAGCTCAACAAAAAGGAATTACTTTTAGAGGTAAGAGGACCAGTTTATTAAATATACCTCCTCTGCCTATCAGCAGCATTGACTCAATCCGGGTAGGCATTCTCCTCTGCTGGGTGGAGACTCCAGGTGAGGAAGGTGCAGGCGAACCAAAGACAAACCTCCTGCCCTTGAGGACTTGAAAATCTAAGCTATCGCTTGACTAGGTTGGCAGCGTTGTGGGGGGAGGTGACAAAAATAGGAGGAAAGAAGAAGAAGTATGATGCAAGGGAACAGCATCCTTAAAATTGTACTTTTCTTCAAATGTGTCAAGAGCTTTTATATGTAAGTGTTGGATCACGTGGTCATTGCTTTCCCTGGCAAAGACATATTCGGCTATGAAGACCAAGTGCAATGATGTCACCTCAAGAAGCACAGCCTGACACTGTCAACAATTCAGTATTCCCTCCTGGACACTCTCAGAACACTTTGTGGTTGTCTTTATGATGCCATTTTTTCACAGTGTATTTTAACTGATATCATCCTCCTACCCACACGTATACAACTATAAACTCCTTTAGGGCACAGACCATGTCTTCCTTCCCTTTGAACTCCGTTGCAGTTATTCTTCCAATGCCTGCTCCTCCACCCAGAGATCAAGATCTGCGTGGCACCCAGGCCTCAGTAGATTAATAAACCCTTTGTGTGATTTTAATGTTCTGCCAAGGTTGAGAACTGTCTGGTAGTGCCCCATTATTGCCTGATTTCAAAACCCTGCTACTTATGTAACAGGAGACCCCAGTTTGAGCTGCATTGTCAGAATCCAGCTATGGCTCAGCTTAAACTCAAAGAGCTTTGGCTTTGTTCATTAATCCCTGGACTCAGGGATCCAAGGTTTTCTGTTACTCAACATGCATCCAAGTCCAGACTTGCTCTGTCTTCTGGCTCTGTCTTTCTTAGCAGGTGACTTTTGTTTCCAGAGTTAGATGACGGATATGGTTTCTCCGGACAAGACTTTTCTGTTCCAGGATGGAGGAAGAATCAAGGGCCAAAGGCTTTCTCAGGAGGCTTGACTTTTTATTCAGGGAAGGAAAGCTGTTCTCACAGATTTCTCCTTGTATTGTGTGGTGCCCGAGAGATGCATATTGAGCTTCCTATCTCCTATAACAGTGGAAGGAAGGAAAAAGGGGCTGTGAATGGCTCTTGGGTGGCCAGCTCACTGGCCGACCACATCTGCAGGTGTAGGCCGGGGGTGCTAGGGTGTGTTTCTCTGAGTGGCTGAGAGGTGTACTAAGGGACAAACTAACCCCCGAGTCCTACAGCAAAGCTCATTTTATGTACAGTCTCAGAGCTGGAAGAAAGGAAGTTCTTTTGTCCACCGCATGGGTTTTCTCAATAAGGTATGTCCCTGCTCTGATCCAGACTAAATCCTAAGTGGATTAGATGCTGTGCAATGAAAAATATGTGGAAAAATTGTTCTTACCCACAAACATCTTTTAAAAAGCATTATTACTTTGGAGTCTATCTAATAGATTGTAACACCAATGGAAAGATACAACTTTTCTCAACTTCGATTACAAAAGAGTACAATGTTGGCATCTGATGTAGTTCTGCTCCAATCAGATACTGCTTTGGTACCACATCGATCCTGTCTGCGTCATGTGATTCTTGTTCCAGATGTTGCTGTAATAGCCAGCTGCCCATGGGCTCAGTCCTATTTGATGAAACCTAATAGTCTTTGGCCCTCCTGCCTGCAAAGCATGCCTTCTTCCTTCTGATCTGTTAATGACCAATAAGACCACTTTGGCGTTTGGGAGATGGTCTTGCTTACTCCTTTCTCCCATTCAATTCGTAGCCATGAGATGCATTGATACAACTTCCCTAAGGTTCACCTTTGCAGCTCAAGCCACTGGTGGCATTGAATTGCGATGAGTTAGAGATTTTCCTTGCAACTGCATCTCTCTTCCTCCCTGCTTTGCTCTTTGTGTCTCTTGATGCTGTTTCCTGAGATTCTGCTTCCTAGTAAAATAATATCACGTAATGTCTCTGTTTCAGACTCTGCTTTCAGGGGTACAACCAGGTAAGACATTTGGTTCCAGGGTGGTTCTACAAAGCGTGTCTTCAGGTTCGGATTCTGGGGCCAGATTTCTCACTGCTGTGTTGGCAATTAGACCCCCATCATTGGTGTTAAATGTGGGGATGGTGTTACCCCCAATAGGAAGTGAAGTCACAATCACTGGGGCTTTCACCTATGGTTATACAGAATGAGCTCCACAAATAAGGCAAGGCATTGGGATGTGAGGAGCCTGTGGTGATGATGGAAAAACACGGCAGCGATATTTGTAAGGACTGTGGCATGGACCGGTTTCTTTACCTCTCCTAGAAACTTTGAAAAGAGAGAGAAAGAGAGAGAGGGAGGCAGGAGGAGACAGAAAAAGAGGCAGATGGGCAGGGGAAGAGAGAGAAAGACAGAGAGGGAAAGAGGGAGAGAGGGAGATAGAAGGAAGAAATCTTAAGCCTAGAAAAGCCAGTTGGCCTCTCAAAGCCAGCTCCAGCTTCTGCAGCAGCTACAGTGTTGCCATTTCAACTTTATGGAAACTTTCTGCCCTGCTAAACGCCACATTCAGGATGTCCTTGCAAGGATGGCACGTCTGCAAACGTGACTCAGTGCACATCCTCAGCGCGCTCTATGTCCTAGTTGTGACTCCGATGTGAAGAGGAGCACTTGGGCCTTTGATGGAAACACATAGATGAGTGAGCAGGAGAATTTTGCTACCTCAGTTTTCTCAGAAACCTCTAAAAGCCATCTTCTGCTCCTGACCGATTGTTGTAGGGGAACGACCACTTCCTACCTGAACACTCTAGAAGCTTCTTGGCTGAAGATGGCAACCAGGGTGCGAGGCGTGCAGATTTCTTGTGAAAAGCTACCTGTGCTCATCATGGCCCAACCCCTCCTCTAATTTCAGGCTGATAGACAGGTCCAGGCCTCCACATAGCCAGGGTAGAGAAGGACATTCCCTTTTCTGGGAGAAAATACCTTACACACTGGACGAGTTCAGGATCTGGCTAATTCATGCTAGCAGCAACCAAGAAAATATGTATGAGAAGGAATATTGATGGAACTAGGTAGGAAGAGAAATACACGGCTGGATGGGGAGAATTTATTGTCAAGGAGCCCATCTCTCCAGGTTCTTGATTCCATGTCAAGGTCCCCTGGGACCAGCTGGTCCTGATAGTTTGTGGGTAAGATCCAGTGAGCTGTGGATATCAGTTTGTCCTTGAGTAAACGGAGATGGAGAACTTCCTTGGCACAGCAGGAAAGGCTCAGAAGGCTCGGCAAAGGTCAAAATGTTAGACTCCATGTACGATAGAGCTGTTCCCCCTCATCTGTGGGGGATATAGTCTAAGACCCCCACTGATGCCTAAAACTGTGCTTTTACCAAACCCAATTGCCATCCATGGACCACATGTCTGTTCGGGTCTCCCACCCACACATTTATTATCTTTTCCATGGTAACATCATTTATCACACACTGTGCCCATGACATTTGCAGTTTGAGACATGACAGCCAAACTAGCACAGATTTCTTTTCCTTAGTCACAATGTTATGGGTAGAAAATTTGTTCTTACTGTAGATCTTAGCAGCCTCAGCATATAACTTTTTTCTTAAGTTGAGGACTTTGATCTTCTCACTTAAAGGAAGCATTGTATGGATTCTTTTTGCCATATCCGAATTGCCAGCATTGCTACTCTTACTCTTTGGGGCCATTGTTAAGTCAAATAAGGGTGACTTGAACACAAGCCCTGTGATACTGTGATAGCTGACCTGGTAATCCCGGCGGCTACTAAGTGACTAAAGGGTAGCAACATCTACAGCGTGGATCTGCTGGACAAAGGCATAATCTATGTCCCACCAGGATGGAGTGGGACAGCGTGAGATTTCATTACACTACTTAGCACTGCAAATAATTGAAAACTTATGAATTGTTTATTTCTGGAACTTTCCATTTAATATTTTCTGACCACCGTTGACAGTGGGTAACTGAAACTGTGGAAGGCAAAGCTGTGGATAAAAGGGGGCTACTGTGTAAAATCAGAGTGCTCTGGGAGAGTTCAAAGGACAGGCCCTTATCTCTTTAATTTAACATTTATTTTAGGTTTAGGGCTGCATGTGGAGGTTTGCTACAGAGGTAATCACGGGCCATGGGGATTTATTCTACAGATTATTTCATTACTCAGATATTAAGCTCAGTACCCAATAGTTCTCTTTTCTGCTCCTCTCCCTCCTCCCAACCCTCACCCTCAAGTAGACCACAGTGTCTGTTGTTCCCTTGTTTGTGTTCATAAGTTCTTATCGTTTAGCTCCCACTTACGAGTGAGAACCTGTGATATTGGTTTTCTGTTCCTGTGTTAGCTTGCTAAGGATAATGGCCTCCAGCTCCATCCATGTTCCTGCAAAAGACATGATCTCATTCTTGTTTATAGCTGCATAGTATTCCATGGTGTATATGTACCATATTTTCTTTATCCAATCTGTCATTGATGGGCATTTAGGGTGATTCCATGTCTTTGCTATTGTGAATAGTGCTGCAGTGAACATTCTTGTGCGTGTGTCTTTACGGTAGAATGATTTACATTTGTCTGGGTATATACCCAGTAATCGGATTGGTGGATGGAATGGGAGTTCTGCTTTCAGCTCTTTGAGAAATCACCATACTGCTTTCCCCAGTGGTTGAACTAACTTTCACTCCCTCTTAGAGACACACCGTGCTCTAAAGGCATCAGGGAATGCACAGGTTGCAGAGTTGGCACTAGTCTCCCAGTGATTTTTCTGCTGGCCACATGGGAGAGGGGTAGCTGGTGCAGCAGAACAGACTCCCTTAATAACAGTGAGGGCTGATGGGACTCCGGAATGGCCAAGGCCAATGGCAAAACTTAACCTTCAGAGGCAAGGCGGGCACAGTTACTGCAGTGGGCAGTGAGGCTGGAATGGCAATCAGGGTGCGAGACATGTGGGGCCACTGACTGTGGCTGGAGAAGTTGGTGCTTCCAGAGGAGAGATGCACACCCAGCCAACATGGGTGTTGTTTAGCACCTATGGTTTAAAGAAAGAAAGAGAGGGAGCCAGCAGGTAGAAGGCTGATGTCACTCTCCCAAAGAGAGTCATACATCCTCATCAGGTCCAAGATCTCAGTCATAAAAGCAGAGTCTATGGATTGAAGGGAGGACCAGATTCTTCTGAGGAAGGCCTCTGAAACACCTCTGCAAATGCATCTGTTAAATACTCCCCAGCTTCTCCCCAAAAGGACATAAGGCCATTTTCTAGAGAAGCTGTGAGGTTTCTTCTGCTCTGCCGGTGGGAGTCGAAGCCAAGACACTGTTGCTCCAGGGGCAGAATGCTTTGCAGTGGCATCCGTGGCGGCCATGGAGATGCATGGTTGTGGTGGCATACACCCAGAGGCTGCGGGACTCAGGGACGATGAGTCCCAGAAAGCTTCTGGTCATTTCACAGATGTCAGCCACAGAATGAAGATCACCTTGCATTGGGTAAGATCTAACAATAATGTGAAAATCCTACTGGTTTTGCAGGCAGAGAAGCTGGATTCTCTTTGAACTACAGGCTGAATTCTTGATGGAGAACAGGTAAGGATGACACTGCAAGACAAAATGTGGTGTAAGAGAGGACCTGGGAAAACATAAAATACCCTAAGGACTTCCTTTAAAGCATGATTCTGTAACTCAAAAGAGTGATGAGCACTTGGCAACAGTTTAGGGAAAAAAGAATCAGAGAAATACAATATAGAATTGTTAATATCACTATTGATTTATGAGGCCTGAGAAAGCATGGGTGACAGCCACATGGATGATTTAAAGACAAAAGTGACCTTTTCTCTTTGCTGTCAAGTGAACCTAAAACTGCAATGGGCAGTGAGGCTGGAATGGCGATCTGAAACTATATAGTTTTTTGCTTTTTAGACTCTTAATAATTTTTCTTGTCTTAAATTGATCCCGCATTTGAAAAAAAAAATGATTGTACATTAGGCTGAATGGAGCTTATCCTTTCTTACTTTGTTTTTCCTTCTACAAATGGTGCCACGATGAAATGACTTCCTGTTTAAATAGTGCCTTAAGGTGGTTTATAAGTAGCTTTTGTAAAGAATTTCCAGCTCATCTTTTTCCTCATACCTTCTTATGAACACAGTACTATCCACATTTTAGAAACTAGAGTGAAGCTTGAAGACAATAAATGAACTGCCCAAGATCACACATCCACCAGGAAGGGCTGTGATGGGAACTCAGCTCTGCCGTTACCTAAAGTGGGGATCTTCCCTCAACATTACTGTGAATCTCTGAACACAGTGCTCGGTGGAGAAGACCCTTATTCAGACAGCACTGAGGGGCCAGGGCAAGGTGATGATGATGGCAGTCAGTTACATTGTTATAATCAACAGGAATCCTGGCAGAGTTTAGTTTGCTTTATGTTTCGAAGATGAAGAAAAACAAACTGGCAGGAAGGAGACAGAAGGTACATGGTAGAAAGGATGCCACATGCTAATCTTGAGTTATGTGGCAAACAGGTGACATTGAGAGAATACGGCATATTTACGGGGATGTGGTTGAAAGTTGGAAGGGAAATATTTGGGAAGGCAGTAATGCAGTGAAAATCTCGGAAAGACATCGGGGCCCAGGAAATGTAGCTGTAGAGTCAGGAGAGGTTATTAAGCAGAGTGTGAGATGTCTACTGAAGACAACTCATGAAAATATTGGGTCCAAATAGCTGAAGGCAAAAGGTGTTTCCCAGAGAAAGGGTAGGCTTTGCTCAGAGGTGGGACAGTTTCCTGGCTGAGGTAAGTAGTATTTTATTTATTTATTTATTTATTTTGACAGAGTCCCTTCTGTCACCCAGGCTGGAGTGAAGTGGTGTGATCTCGGCTCCCTGCAACCTCCGCCTTCTGGGTTGAAGCGCTTCTCCTGCCTCAGCCTCCCGAATAGCTGAGACTGCAGGCACGCACCACCACACCTGGCTACTTTTTGTATTTCTAGTAGAGATGGGTTCACACCATGTTGGCCAGGCTGGTCTGTAACTCCTGACCTCAAGTGATCCACCCACCTTGGCCTCCCAAAGTGCTAGGGTTATAGGTGTGAGCCACTGCGCCCAGCCATAGTATGTGATATCTTGTTAGTGAATGTTTTTATTATACAGTGGTCATAAATTGTAATAAGTACAGATAAGAAAAATATAGTGTTACGAGAGCATACATTAGGGAAACTAAATTTGAATGGAGGAGGCAGAAGGATACCTTTGAGGATGTGACATTTAATAAAATACCTGATTATGTGTAGGTTACAGCTTGAATTCTCTGAAAACTATTTTTTAAGGGGTAAACTTAAAGTCACCATGAATATGTAATTGAATACATATTTTCTACAATAAATAATTATTTTATTATGCTTCATATCGTTGTTCAGTTTTTGTATTAAAGTCCTATATGTTATTAATCGTGGCTGGGTGCGGTGGCTCACTCCTGTAATCCCAGCACTTTGGGAGACTGAGGCGGGCAGATCACTTGAGGCCAGTTGTTCGAGACCAGGCTGGCCAACATGGTGAAACCCCGTCTCTACTAAAAATACAAAAATTAGCTGGATGTGGCAGCACATGCCTGTAGTTCCTGCTACTCGAGAGGCTGAGGCAGGAGAATCACTTGAATCCAGGAGGTGGCAGTTGCAGGGAGACAAGGTCATGCCACTGCACTCGAGCCTGGAAAACAGGACGAGACTCCATCTGAAAAAAAATTATGTATGTTAGTAATCATAATATACATGCCTATGTACCTAGACATTATATACATACGAGTGTGTATGTACATTTTTGCCTATAAATATGATAGTGAGAGCCAAATCATGTTATTATAAAAAACTAGAACTAGCAATAATAGATTTATTTGTATTCATGAACACTAACTGAGATCAACTCTAAAAATTAAATATGAATCCCCAAATACTTGAGAATACTCATGACAGCTCAAGCAAAGAATGAGAGCCTTCAAAAACTTCGTAAGTTTATTTGGCTTCCACAAATTCCGACATCTTCAGATTATTCCTCTCAGACCCTGGTATCTTTAGAAAAATGTATGTGTTAAGTTCCACAGTGGTTTACAGCAGACTAGACAGTTCCAAGAGAGGTCAGTGCTGGTTCTTAACCTCAGCAAGTTTGACCTCACACCTAAATGTCCCTAACTTTCTGTCACCTTTCCCCTTACCCAACCCTGGCACCCTCTTCTTTCCTTTGGATTTCCTCTTTCTGGTCTTATTTCTTGTGATTCAGGATTTGTACCCTAATGGACTGGAGTTCATTCCCAGCCTCTCCCCATCACTGACTTGGGCACTGCCTCTGCTTCATTATTTCAGCCTTGTTAGTTACTAAACTTCCTCTCTCCTCAGACAGCAGCTGTACCTATCCTTATAGAAAAGGAAACAAATCAGTCAGTCTCATGTCACCAGAGGACATCCTTGAGGAATCTCCACTGGTAATTAATCAGCAAGGATACCTTTGAAATGGAAAGTTTGCATATCAGTTTCCTTAGCATGACGGAGCATTTCAAAGATTTTCCCAGACACCTCTATCATAAATACGTGGTCTTCCTTGGGTTCAGGCTGTGGATTCTTGATGGTAGGAGCTCTGCGTTACTGGGCACTTTAACAGAGCTCACCAGTGTGGAGGCATCTGGACAGATGAACGAATAGATAAATGAATGAGCAGGATGTGAAATTGCCCATTCTTGTTTGTCATTGCAGCGGTCTGTTTCCTTCCAAGTCCTGGAATTCTAATGCGGGTGATTTAATTCCATATGTTTCCCCATCAATCAAGAGAATTTTTGTTTGACTCAGAGTGAAAGGTGCATTGGTCTTGCTGGTGGGGAAGATAGTAAAACAGGCAACTGGGCAGTGAGTGATTGGGAAGGAAAGGGAGACTGCAGAGCAAAAAAGCATTTTCACAAGGACACATTTGGAGAAAGACTAGAAGGCATGGAAAGCAAATGTTTATTTCAAACAATACCTGTGGTTTCTTAGAAGGAATATGTTGATTCAGGGAGTCTACAGTGTCCATCTTAGGAGATGTCCCGGTAGGGGTATGCTAAAATGGAATGAGGCACAGAGCACTATTTCTTTTATATTTATATTTAAACATGTTATCAATTATATGTGTAATATATATTATATATATTTTATATGTTATATAATACAATATTTTATTATAATATATATTTTATATATTATATAATACAATATATTATTATGTAATATATATTTTTTATATACAATATATATTTTATATATATATATACACACACACACATAGTTCTTAAAACATAGGGAAAGAACAATTTAAAAAGTGTGCCAATAAGCCAGGCAAGGTAAAGAGAAATAAAAATTTTAATGTTTATTTTTATGAATTTACCATTTGTAAATGTAGCTTCATTCATTCTTGCAAACTTTTTTGTTGTTTTTGAGAGCCACCATGAAGTGGGCACAGTGAACCTAGGTGACAACATCCTAGTCGTCTCTGGTCTCTGTTGTGCCTTCCGAATGGGGAGAAACAGACAAGAGAGGAAGAGACAGAGTCTGTTGGACATTGTTGGGTGTTATAGAGAAAAAGAAGGTGGGGGAAGGATGAGAAGTGAGCCGTGGTTGTTGGATGGTGATACACATCTGTGTACAGACCTGGAGGAGCTGAATGAGGGAACTGTGCTGATGGCAAGGGAAGGACATTCCAGATGGAATCTAGAGAGCAGACTGTGCCTAGGCTCTAACGTAGGTACCAGCTTGCTGTGCAAGGACACCAGAACAGAGGGGGTCAGATGCTGTGCAAATGAAAGCATGCTACAGTACTTAAAAGGGGACCCAGTGACTCAGGTGCCTCCATCATCGTCTTACTGTGGTGGAATTCCCACTCTTGCCCTTGGGACACCTCATTTCTAACTACTCAACATGTGTCTGCCTAACATGACCACATGGGGCCACCAACAACCTTACATAAAATACTATAAACATTATTTTATTTGGACAAAAATAAATATGGGATATACGTTTTAACATTTTCTTTCTGCATTCAGTGAGTGTTCTCGTGCATTATATTTTAGGGATCATTCCTCGTACCCCTCACTCTCACTGTATGTTATGATGACTTATTGGTTACCATATAATTACTTCACCATTTAAATACTTCTTAATTAGACTGGGCATGGCATTATTTCAAATTCTACTCTGAGTCTCAGGCTACATTGCTTTCCAACTACCTCTCCCCAGTGTATGTTAGAAACATCTAGATGCAAGAATAATTTTAAATACAGTGATACAATGACTTCTCTACTGGAAATAAGCTATCCTGCTCCATTTCGAAACAAACTAGCCAAATAAATGAAAGGACAGAGTGTGTTTGTGCATGTGTATGAATGTGTGTGTATATGTATGTGTATTTGTTTCTTATGTGTGTATGTATGCATGTGCATATGTGTATATAATTGTGTATGCATGTGAGTGTATGTATTTTTGTGGATATATGTGAATCAATGCATGACTGTGTGACTGTATGTGTATGTGTGTGCTTGTGTGTCTGTCTGTCTGTCTGTCTGTCTGTGAGCCAGTTCATGAGGGCCTTCTGGACACGCAATTCTTGCACCAGCTAAAGGGATTTGAGCTGAGAAGTGGTGTGACTTGACATAGGTTTTGCAAGCATCACTGTGGCTGCTCTTTTGAGAATGGAGGGAGGGAAGCAAGCAGGGAGTACAGCTTGAGGCTACTGTAATACCCAGGTAAGGGAAGATCACGCCTTGGTTCAATGTGGAAGTGATAGAGATACGGAGGAGAAAGTGAGAATTGATCCAGAATCCTGGGTGTCAGTCCCAATTCTGCAATATACCAGCTAGGAGACCCTGATCACCTCATTCAACCTTTAGCTTTTCCTATCTATTTTGTCTCCTCCAAAGAGGCATTGTGAAACTAAAACAAGGTGACAATATATAGAAGCATTTCCCAAACTCTGAACATCTCTTTAGTCAAGCATGTTGCCCAGAGCAGGATTTCACAAACATTGAATCAAATTAGTGGATCATAGAATTAGTTTAGTGGGTCACATTCAGCATTTAAGAATAACAGAATAAAAGAGAACAGATGAGACATAATGTTTGGGAAACATCATCATGGATGTTAAAGAATGAGATTTTGAGCCAGACAACCCTGCATTCCAAGCCCCATGTCAACCACTGACCTGTTGTTTGGCACTCCACACGTTAATGTATCTCTCTAGTCCTGTGTACTTATCTGAAAAGTTGATACATTTAAAAAAAATTCCTGCCTCATGAAATTTTGTAATTAAATGAGTTAGTAGACTTAAAGTGCTTAGCAATATACTTGGCATATAGTAAGCCCTCAATAAAATAATTCTTAAAGATTATAGTAATTATAGATTAACAGGTACAAAACCAGTGTGTAAATTACTATTTACCAAATTAGTACATTATATTGTTAAGTGATCAAAACAGACAAGTGCATGATTTAGAAATGTTTACAGGATTTCAAATGAATTTGTTTATATCTAAGTTCTCCTTAGTGACTCAAACCTAAAAGAACAGAAATATTCCTCACAGTATTTGCTATATTTCCAGTGTTTCCACATACATCTCTAATCTGTCTAAGCTGACAGAGACCAAAAAAAAAAAAAAAAGACTTATTTTTTTGTGCCTTTTACTGAAGTCATTCTACCAAAAAGCGCATTCTACCGCACGCAGTCAGTTATCAACCCAAGTTCTCCTTCCTTGGACGATTAGTCATTATTGCCGCTCTCCTCACCTACTCATCCTAGAAGACTTTTCAGAATTTTGTATTGCCAGATTCTCTCAGAGTCAAGCTTTCCAACCTCAGGACCCCCCATGCACTTGGTTTAAATAGAGACTGATTTATTTAATAATGAGTTTAGTATAGAACTGTTTTCCTTCTTAAGTGTTTAGTTTTAAGATGGCAAGGAAATTCTTGTCTGTCTTTTCAGTTAACATTAGTCATAGTTCATCCTTCTACCCTATTAGGTCATACATAGAATTCTACTGTGCCTTTGGGAGTTGCAAGATTTATTCTTTCATCAAGCTGGACATCCTACTGTTCCCCACAGAGCTTTTGCAAACACTTGCCTCATTTCTTCTGTTTGTTCACTGATTTAGGTAGCAAATACAGTGAGCAATCCAAGGTCCTCTGTATCTGACGTATTAATGCAATGCATGTCTTCCATACTAGGTGTTATCTTTAATGTTTATTTTCCTAAGTGCTTTGTCATCCTCTAAAATCCTCAGCTTCTTTATAAACAAATGAATAAATAATGTAGAAAAACAGCCATTAACAAGATCACAGTATAGTTCTATAATATTTAGTGAATATAGTCTAATGTCTTTGTAGCTGACTAATCAGTTCACTATTTTTTTATACTAAATGAAATTTAATGGTTTATGAGCTTTGCCTTGATTGCAGTAATTAGTAAATGAAAATGTGTTTGCATTTCCACCTGTGTGTTTGCATTTCCCAAGTCTTTTCTCACAAGGGAACCCTATACTAATAGCTCTAATCAAGGCCAACTACCTCACACACACAGTCAACAAATCTAAAAAAAATAGTAATACAGATAGTACAGTTTTTTCATGCTTTGAGTAAAATTCAGTTTCTTCTTTCATGCCAACATGTGTATTTTATGTAAGAAAACTCTAGCTTATAAAAAAAAACTTCTTACTATAAAAGAGTGATAGATAGAAAACAACACATATTTTTTGGAGAAAAATGAAAAGGATTCTTTAAGCTTCATGGTTTTGTTGAATGTAAAATAGACTTTATCAAATAGCATTAGCATGTAGATATTTTCAGAAGCATGCATGAAGAGTCCATCTCTATGTGTATTTTCCTAGTGGTTCATAACAAGAGGAGAAACATTTTTAAAAAGAAAGTTAAGAGAAGAATAGTGACTGTACTGCCTTAGGATCTTATATTCACATTAAATTAGCATTCATTTACTTGTCTCTTCTTTATGAGGTAATTCCCTGTGAATTTCATGAGCTTTCCATTGCTTTCCTACCAAACATCAACTAAACTCTATCTGGTGATTTAATGATCACTTTACATTTTGTCAGGGAGACTAATAAGCAAAGAAGTTTTGAGCATTCAGGAAAATGGTATAAAATGTGAATTCTATCTTTATGATTAAAATAACAGAAAAACAAAACAAACAAAACTGAAATATCCACATCTTTTCCTCTCCCTAGTTCAACTGCCATCTTCCATTGGCGGGTTTCCTGAGGGATAGAGCCGTATCTCTCTGTGGTCAGATGGTTGCGGAAATAGGAGGAGGAAAGAGGGGGACTTCCTCAGTTGTAAGAGGTGGATGGTAATTAATATTGTAACCTATTTTAACGTAACTTTTCCTGGTAAAGTGGGTTTGTTAATTATCTAATTATAATCAAACCAACCCCCACAAAATGACAAAAAGAGTAAAAACAAAACCTACACAAAATCTATATTAAAAAAAAGAATACCAAGAAGACAAGTACACATGACCAGTGAGAAAACACAGTAGCCCATCAAGCTACAGACATCATTGCACTTCCAAGACAGGCAATGCTCTAACAGCGAAGCAGCATCATCTGCTGGGGTAATTTCCAAGGTCCGTTGCCTCATGCCAAAGAAATCAAGGACACAGACACACAAGGAGTGAGTTTAAGAGCAGAGGTTTAATAGGCGAAAGAAAGAGAAAAGCTCTCTCTCTTGCAGAGAGAGGGGCTCCCAAGTGGGTGTCCTGGTTCAGGGGTGAAATGCATTGGGTTTTATAGACTAGTTCAAGGCTGTGATATCTGATTTACATAGGGCCCAAAAGATTGGTTGGACCAGGTGTGCCATTTACATAGAGCAGGAAGAAGCTTGCTGCCCCACCCTAATCTTTTATTACGCACATGGGTTCTCTACCTGGCCCCGCCATGTTGCCTGTTCCTTTACCGTATACGTGGTTGACAAAGAAAGGGGAAGATGGAGACTCCGTGTTGAACAGGCCTGGCCCCCAGGTAGCCTCTTCCTGTTAGCACCGCTGCCGGCTTTCAACTGTGCAAACTTCTAGCTTGCTTTTCTATGTCTGCAGCTTGAATTTTCAGGCTGCTCTTTGTTCGAAAAGAAATGATTTGGGGAATGCTTTTTATTGAAAGGAAAACCTTACAGAAGATTCTCTTACCCTCACTAACTACCTAGATAATTTCTTTTTAGTTCCTGTATCAGTAGGAACCCACAGCAAGTGCTGCTTTTGAGAGCGGAAACGCAAGCTATGGAAGGAGTGTTAGTGTGAAGAGTTTTTTGAAAATATTTCCATTTTTTTTCATGATTCGTGTTTCAGAAAATTGTATACGTATATCCATACTAAAGGCTTTTTATATTTACAGACTGAAAAAAATAGCATATTGAAAATAAATTTCAAAATCTCCACAATGAGGAATTACATTAAATCATTTTATAATTTGGAACAATTTTAGATTTTTAGAAAAATTGCCAAAATAGTACAGAGGGTTTCCAAATATCCTGTACCCAGTTGTATTATTAACATCTTACATTAGTGTAGTATGTTTGTTACAATTAATGAAGAAGTATTGCTATGTTATTACTAGGTCTATACTTTTAAAACATTTTCCTAGTTTTTACATCATGTTCTTTATTTTCCAGAATTTCATCCAATATATCACATTTCATTTAGCTGTTATTTCTCTTTAAAATTCTTTTGGCCATGATAGTTTCTCAGACTTTGTTTTTGATGACCTTGACAGTTTTGAAGAATCCTGGTGGTGTGTTCTAAATGTTTGTGCCTGCCCCCTACACCCCCGCATTCATACGTTGAAACCTAATCCCCATCCCCAGTGTGACAGTGTTAGGTGAGAGCTTTGGGAAGTGATCAGAGATGAATGCCTTTATAGAAGAAGTCCAAGAGAGCTGCCATGTTACTCCCACCATGGGAGGATACAACAAGATAATGTCATCTATGAATCAAAGAGCAAGCCCTCACCAGCTGCAAAATCTGCTGGTGCCTTGACCTTGGACTTTGCAGCCTCTAGAACTGAAAGACATACATTTCTGTTGTTTCTAAGTTACTCAGTCTAAGGCATTTTGTTCTAGCAGCCTGAACAGATGAAGACAGCTAGTCAGGTATTTAATAGATGCCCCTCAATTGAGATTTGTCAGAGTTTTTTTGTTTGTTTGTTTCATGATTAGACTGGAGTCATAGGTTTTCAGGAGGAAGACCACAGAGGTAAAGTGCCATTTTCATCACTTCATATCAAGGTTACATGTTATCAATAGTGATTATTACTGTCTGTGTTAACCTTAATCACCTGAGTGTACACTATGTTTTGAACACATTTGTTACAAATATAAGTTGCAATATCTTTCAACTAATTTGTTAGAAAAACTGACTTACATGATGTCAGATGATACTTTAATATCTCCATTTTATATCCAAACTTTTGTATGTTATGTGGATGGGATAGTAAGCATAGCCGATGATTCCTTTTCTTCCATTTTTGAAGTATCAGAGATTTTCCATTATGATGGCCATGTAAAGTAAATATTAAAACTGTCTGAAGTTAGATACAAATACCCAAATTGCTGTCTGATAAAGAATTCAACAAAGATTTTTTTTTAAAATAGGCATATTCAATCATATTCAAAATTATAAAATGGGTTTCTTTAATAAATAAATTAAAAATACAAAGATAAAAGTATATTTTAATTAATAAAATAAAAACGAAATATAGTTGCTTTTGCCTCTTTATTTTTATTTTTTTCAGATTACAGGGTTTTTTATTTGTTAAGCAGTATCATTCTCTGAAAGAATGCAGCACATAATATGTCTTAAAAGAAGTTTACTTAGATTTACCTTTTATTTGCATTTATTTACTTTTAACCTCATATCTTATATACCCATACATAGGAACATATATTATATATCCATAAAAATGAAAGTTAAAACCTTCTTAAAAGTTCCCCATTCGTTTCAAATGCCTTTTTTGCAATGCCTCTGAAGTGCTGAAGCAATCCGTGATTCAGGCTCTTCTATAAAAACTTGAATTTGGGGATTTGAAAAAGCTCATTTAATCATCCAAAGTACTTGCAAAATGGAAAACCAGAGATCAGAGAAGGGTCATAACTTTTAGAAACAGAGCTAGGATTATATCCCACCCTTTCGAATCAGCTAGATATAGGCTCTTGCCTCAAATCTGACATTTTGATGAACTTAGCTCAGATATTTAATTTGGATGGGCTGCAATTGCTTTATGAACAAAGTGGGTTTAACATATAGTTAATATCAAGATAAAGCCTAAACTATTAGCTCATGCTTACACTCAATAAATATTAGTTATATCCCCTCTTTTTTCTTCCATATTCTCTGCCATTCAACCACCCCACAATAGAAATGACAAAATTATTTATTTGAGAAAAAAGTACCATCATGCTTTTAAATTATGTAACAATAAGTTTTGTTTCTCTCCTTGACTTTGCTGTTTGAGATTCTTTTAGGAAAGTGATCATGACTTTGCTTTAGTTACACTGTAAGTATTACTAAAGCCTTGCACAGAAGCACACTGGTCTTGAGGCAAACCTGGTGTAAGTCATTAATCCCTGCAGCACCTTCTTGGTTATAGCAACAGTAATAAAGGCAATAAGGAATACTTAAATACTCACGTGGGTCATCTACATTTGTCCCTGGCTTCAAGTCTCTGTTAGGTGTCTGGAAGCCTTTGAACCTCAGCCTCTAGTCCTCAAAGGTCTTTTACACCATCCAAGACTTTAAGTAGAGCCTTAAATCTACTTAACATCTTCCTCTCCCAGCCAATGGGTTAGAGACAGTTTCTTATATCGCTAATCTGTAGATTACCTCATCTTCCCCTTCTATTCTGTCAGTTAACTCAAAATTCTCTAGCATTTTCCAATATTAAACACTCTCTGTCTCTGTTTAGAATATTCACAATCAGGTCTGTATTTTTCTCCAACCAGCTTTTGTTTGGTACCATTATTCAACACAGAAGGTGAGATATATGCAGTAATGTTTTTATTTTTTTTAGACAGAGTCTCACTCTGTCACCCAAGCTGGAGCGAAGTGGAACAATCTCACCTCACTGCAACCTCTGCCTCCTGGCAGGGTTCAAATGATTCTCCTGCTTCAGCCTCCCAACTAGCTGGGACTACAGGCGCATGCCTCCACACCCAGCTAATTTCTGTATTTTTAGTAGACACGGGGTTTCACCATGTTAGCCAGGCTGGTCTCAAACTCCTGAGAGCAGTCTGCCCACCTCAGCCTCCCAGAGTGCTGGAATTACAGGTGTGAGCCACTGCTCCTGGCCAATAATTTTAAAAAATAATTATATTCATAATATTATTTTTGGGGATCTTAAAACATAAATGTGTAAAATTTTGATAGAAAAGTAACTACTTCTGAGAATCTAAAGATCATACATTTTTGGAGTTTAACTCAAACAATAATGAAAATATATCAAATTTTGAGCAATCCCCTGAAATTGTAATTGTACTCTAAATTTCTATCAGGGAATAAAACTGAACAATTCTTAGTTTTGTTAGTTGTCTGAGATAATCTCCAGAAAAGAACTAATTTTTTAACACGAAGGGAAAACACTAAAATCAACAGAAAAAAAATTAGTAGGAAGCAGAAAAGTACAAAAAGCAAAAATTAAAAATAATCATTTCTCTCTTATGTGTTTCTTTGCTTTTGAAATCAGTGATTTTGGTTGATGAATAAGTTAACTGAACAATGAGGGTGCGTGCGTGTCTGTATTCTTTAAACAATAAAAAGAGTTGGTATTTTTGTTTTGCTAATTTGGTTATAAAAATATTTTAATCCCTGAAAACTCTAGCAGCAGATCAACAAACACGTGACATTACAGGATTGTTTTCTGAAAGAGTTAATAAAAGATGATTTAAAATATATTGCTTCAGGTAGTTTCATTATTAAAAAACACTAGCTTAAAATTGGTGGAATATCTTTGTATGTTAGATAGTGGAACTTAAATTCTTACTTCAATCAGAAATAAAAATTCATATATATTTATATATTTATCCATATATATGTATTTATATATTTATCCATATATATATATATATTTATCTGATCTAAAAGTGAACCAAATGGATATTCTGTTACAATATATGATCCCAGAGAGACAAGTACATCAGCCAAATTCTTCCTGCAGAGGCTGAAATTGTAGCATCCTGCGACCCTCTTTAAATATGGAAAATTATTCCAACCTCTTTCACTTTTCTTGAGTGTTGGCCACAGGTAGCTAAAACAAGTCCTCCGAACTGTTTTCTCTATGCCCAAATCCAGATGAATGCTCCCTGGGCCTAAGTGATAGGATAGCATCTCCGCTGCCTATTTGCAAATCGGTTAGTCTGGGTGCCTTGTCGTCACATTCTGTGATTTGTGTGTGAGACATTTACAATTTATGATTAATTCAGTAATTATTTTAGTAGAATAGCGATCATCTTTTCCAGTTCTGAGAATATCATACGTATCCTACTTTTACATGCATATTTTAATGCATTTCCCACGTAGGCTATTGGTTGATGTCTCCACGCTGGTGTTACTTAAAGATGCTTAGTATTTGTTCGCTGATGGCAGAAAGATGGAAACAGATTTGTTTTCTGTAATGCATTTGTCCTCCACTAAAAGCATTGATATGAAGAAGAAAGAAGGGAAGATAATAATTGAGACATTGCTTTATCATTCTCAGTACACTCCCTTGCATTTCTGTGCTATACTTAAATGAAATCTCAGACTCACTCGTGAATTAGCAACACCTCTCTCAGAGGAAAATGTGACCACTCTGTTCTTCGAAGTGATTTCTCTTATGTCATCTTTGTCGAAACCCTTCCATCCACTTAAGAGCTCCCCTCCTGCATTCCATTTCTACTTTCTAATTTACAGATACGGAGCCACTAAATCTCTACTTCTTGTTCTACTCATATTATGAATCTGTAACTCTTCTGGACATTTCAATGTCCTTTTAGGAATGCAGCAGACTTTTTAAATTGTTCGCCATTTATTGGTTTCAAGTACGTGGTGAGAGAGATTTAGGAGACTTTCTGAAGCAGTGTATCATTTTCTTTGTGTGCATAGTAATCATTTTTTTTCATGGTTACTTCCTGTGTTTATAGAGACATGCTTATTTTATTTGGGTAATGATTAGCCTTAATATAAAAAAAGGAACTGAGAATACAGGAATTTAAAATGTTTAGTAAGAATGATTATATTATAGTTAGAAAGGAAAACCTGTTAAGTGTAATGAAAAGTTGAACTAAAAATTTGTGCTTAAATTTTGCATTTTGATTTTCAGCCTCTTATGTGTGCCGAAGACTCAAGCATAGGTTTATTGTATTATAAACAAAACGAAATCAACCTGGAAAAGATTAATATCTATGTGCTGGGAATATTCCCTCCTAACCAGGGTGTCTAGAAGCTGTATCAACTGGGAGAATCCAGTGAGTAGATAGTTTGATTACCTAGTTTCGGAAGATTAAATTTAATAGTTCTGCTACGAGAATATCATGGAAAGGCTTCAGAGCTTTCTTATTTTCTTTCTTGATCAGGTCATTGCATCTTTATTCCCTCATGATCTTTTTTTTAATCTTCAATTCTTTTTCATCTTGCCGTCCATTTTAGCTTCAAAGGCTGATTCTTATCTTATTCCAAATATATTTACCAAGTACCATTCATCAAAACAATGACTACAAACCTTTCCCATGTAAGCGATTATATAGCTTAACCAAGAAGACAAACAGTAAAATGATTATTTGCTTAAAGTTATTTTGAAAGACACTTACCTTGTCTCAGCTGAGCACATTTGCTGATGCATGAGGCTGGCAGAGGCTGCGGTGTGTGGTTCTATCAGCAGCAGCACCCATTCTAAGCCAATAGTCTGTGTCTTTGATCATTTGCTGCAAGTTTTGGAGTATCATTGAAGACTGCCTTGAGGTATGCTCTTTGGATTATAGTGCCAGCATGAAAAGAATATTTTGGTTTGCCTGTCAATTGGTGGGGCTTCTCCCCTCCCCATAATAAGCTGGGACTATGACAAATTCCTACCCTGAGTCAAACATCCAAATCTCTACATTCTTTGTAGTGAACCTCAGAGAGGATCTGTGGTCGGGTTTGGAGTAACTACAAGCTTTATCATGCCCTGAAGGCACAAGTCAAAGGAGGATAGGGCAGGAGCTTGCCCATAATGAGGAAGCTTGCAGAGCAAAGGAGGGGAACCTGTCATCACACGGCTCCGGGTTTCTCCTTGAAGATAGTGAGGTTGTCTGTGGGGTCAGAGAGAAAAGTTGACTTGTCCGACAAAGAGATGGCAGGTGGTTTCTGCTTCCTCTGTGCATTTCTGAGTGCCCTTTGCCGTCTGCATCCAGGGAACCTAAGGACTGAAGGCCTTGGGAGGGGACCGTGCACTTAGCATTTGCTAGCTCTCTTTGCTGGCCAAGGCTTCGCTAACGCTTTGACTTTCTAGACTTCAAACTGTAGGGATCTCCTGCATGTGCCCACTCCTCCTTGATCTTGGGCACACTCCCCAGGATTAGCCTTGCATTCTCCTGACCTTGAATATCTTCCAGACACCTCCTGAGCCAAGCTAGCTATTTAGCCTTGGCTTTCCTTGCATGCTTGTTTCTTCATAACTCAATGATAATGATGATGAAATTTATGATATCTTAGTAGTAGTAGTAATACAGTGATAGCTTCTTCTATTGAATCTTACTATGTTCCAGACCCTATTCTAAGTGCTAAACGGGTATTAGCCATTAATTATTTCCAAAAAATAATTGATGTTGCTGTTACCACCACTTTCCCAATGACAAAATAAAGCACAAGTTGGGCTAGGTAATCAGTGCAAGGTTATATGATGAGTAGGAGGTGATGATGAGATTTGACCCCAGATATCTTGGGTTCAGAGTTAAGGCTTTTTACTCAGTGTTTTATTTCATTCCTTTTCGGGATTTTCATTTGAATGACTCATTTACCTAATAGTTGTTAATTATTTTCTGTGTGCCTGTGACATATAAATACAAATGACCTCTACTTTCAAAGACTTTGTATTTTAGTTTGAGAAAAATAAGCTGCTTTCATGGAAATTTTAAAACTCCGTTAGGTACGCAATTTGTTTTTTTTCCTTGGAATACCCTTACCACTCTGACTAATTTTCTAGTCTGTAAAATGCACTTCTTACGCACTTTGGCATTGAATGAAACAATGTCCATGAAAGCATTTTGCAAACTGAAAAAGCTGTACATATGCCGTATGGTGTAGTAATGACACTGTGGCTTTTTATGTGTAGTCCTAAAACACATAAGCTGCTTTCCCTCTTCAACAGTGGAGTTCATCTTTTTAGCCATTCATTCCAAAAGTATTTTTTGAATCCAACATATTGCTAGAGCTTTACATACCCTTTAGTTTAATCTTCATAACAACAGGATCTCTCCCATTTTTAAGATGCTGTCACTGAGAATCAGGAAGTTTAATTAATTCATTCAGAGGTATGCTACCTGTAAAGGAAAGAGCCAATGAATCCACTTTGTTTATTTTTTTAAATTTTGAAGCTGTGTTTTTTCCACCATGTAAGACATCTTCGTTTTGTCAGATTAGCGGTAAAGCTTCCTTTCCTCAGGGATCTCACATTATCCAAAACATGAAGTGATCATACCATGACTAGAATATATACATTAAGAAAACAAGGGAGAACAGTGACTAAATGCTGCTTTTAGAGCAGACTTTAGAAGAGAGGTGAGAGTTTATTTAGCTCTCTGCTGTAGCCAGGGTTGTTCGTTCTAGAAAGAACCAAAGCTTAGATGGAGATGGATCCAAGAGCTTGACGAGGGGCAGACACCAGGGGTGCTCGGGGAGTCAAGCTCAGGGAGCCCCTTGTGGCCATAGAGGCTGTGAAGGGCGCTTCCATCAGGGCTACTGTGGACAGAGCTCAATGATGGAAAATGACCTCCTACGGTTTCCGCTTTCTTTTCATGTCCCTCTCAAGATTTGAGGCCTCTAGAGAGGAGATCTGAGGTTCTAAGCTCATGGTATGTGCTCATGTTTACTATATCCCCACTCAGGGACAGGTGGTTGCAGGCTCCCAAGGGTTCCACAGTGAGGGATAAGGGCCTATTGTTTGCTTACAAAGAGACTGTATGAAATGAAGGAGACGTAATTCTTTAAGAAGGGTCTGGGTGCTCTTAGCAAGATTACTGATGCCAGGGAGCAGGAAATCAACGAATGTCCATCATTGCTTTAAAGAAAATGAACAAGAGCTTCTCAGTGAAAGAGGAACACCGTGGCCTTCTGAGAAGGGTCAGAAAGTGGAAGCCTCACCAAAGCACAAAAGGGCATGTTTCATTTATTGAGAGAAAAAAAAAAAATGAGTATGACTAAAGGATCATGCACTTGGCAAAGTGGGTAGGTTTCAAGTCTGGGAAGGTCAACTGAATTTGGGAGATAAGAACCTTGTATTCTAACATACTTCAGGGACCACTGTGACAGGCCATGAGAAATGTTTAGGGGTAGAGCATTTACATGCCATTGTTTTCTTGCAGTTGGTTGTTAAATACCCCTGTCTCCCTTGGCAGTGTTGAAGAGCAGGCAAAATGAAGCCAGTCCAAATGCATAAGCCCAGCGTACAGACTCATCTTTTCCGGTGAATTATCCCTAATAGCATAGAGGATTTGTGAAGGGAGCATAGAGCAGAGATCTCAGAGGAAGCCACCATGCACAGACAGGTACATTCTTTTCAGTCTTCTGCACCTTCTTACAATTTATGTGAACTTTGAAATTTTCTTCGTGGTGTGTCCATAAAATATACATCTAATTGTTGAATTAGAGGGACAATGGATGGCTCACTCAATATCCATTTCCTCCTTCTTTTTACTTGTAAACCCTTAATTCTGTCCCTGTGCCCACCCTCCCAACACAGATGTATACACAGCAAGGATGATGCTGTGTCCAGTTTCAGGGTGATTCAATAAGCCAATCATGGGAGTCCCATGACTGTTGTCAGCCATGTAGTTAGGAGGGACCCAGTGATTTCGAGGGGTCATACTGGAATATTCTTCCTTGTTCTTGAAAGAGAGACAATGATGTATCAGTCTTCTTTTCTGGACATTTTTGTGTCTGCCATCCTCAGAGCTGTGGTTATTCTTTGACACTGGGGAGGTAGACTGAGGAGAGGCTCTAGGGTGAACATAATAGAGCAAAAAATAGAATCTGGAGGTTTGATTCTTCATGACACCATGGAGTCTCTGTGTTCATCAGCCTGGGAACTGCTGGACATGTGATCTGCTGCCATGTGAGGTGAATTGCTCTCTTGAGGCACTGAGCCCAGGCCTTCAGGTACCAGTTCAGGAGAAAGCATCCTCACGAATTTACCTCCAAATCCTTCAGTAAAGCAGGGGCTGCAGGAAGGTTCACAGCCTTAATCTCATGAATTTCTGTTTCCCTATCCTCACCACATGTCTGTGGACCCCTGAGATAATTCATGCCTTCATTTGAGAAACTCAGAGCACCACCTTCTTTATGGCGATAGGTAATTTGAACTTAATGCATATACTGACAATAAAGTATGTAAAATATAAACATCAAATTTGCTTTCATGGGATAGACATAATACATTCTCTTTCTCTTCTGTATGTATATAAGTATAATTGGGTAGGGGCTGTCTGTCTAGTGACCATGCTTAATTTTGATTTGGGGGGATTATATTCAATTTACCTGCAAAGGAAAAATGTGTTTTGTGTGAATAAGCATGTGTTTTGTGAGAGCTAGTCATTTTCCCCAAAGTCTAAAAATGTGTAAAAGACATTCTCTATACAATGTAAACAAGTTGTTTTATGTGTGACATCTGAAATGTGTGTTTCACTGTACTGCTCAGTTCAGCATCTACTCTAATTCTCCAATGAGGGCTTTGATATGTGACGGGGAAAGGAAGGGTCACTGGGGCTCCTTGGAGGCAGCCATGGAAGGCAAGGAAGCTTTTCTCTCTTTCTTTTTCATTGTCCTGTGCCATGACAGCACACTGTTTTTTCTCTCTCTCAACTGATCTCTTAAAAAATAAATAAGATACTCACTTGCATTATGCAATAGAATATATTTTCTTCTGTGAGTTATGAAATTTGGCATGATGAGGACATTGTAATATGGTCACTTTATAGACATCAATACGTATTAGTTCTGACATTTTGTAGGGCTTCCTTACTTTTTTTTTTTTGTGACACAGTTGGCCCTTGTTGCCCAGGATGCCATCTTGGCTCGCCACAACCTCCACCTCCCGGTTCCAAGCGATTCTCTTGCCTCAGCCTCCTGAGTAGCTGGGATTACGGATTACAGACATGCACCACTATGCCCGGCTAATTTTTTTGTTTTGTTTGTTTGTTTGTTTGTTTGTTTGTCTGTTTGTTTAGTAGAGACGGAGTTTCTCCATGTTGGTCAGGCTGTTCTTGAGTGAACTCCCCACCTCAGGTGAACTGCCTGCCTTGGCCTCCCAAAGTGCTGGGATTACAGGCATGAGCCACTGCAGCCAGTCTGGCTTCCTTACATTTTTATATTTGCTTAGGAGTTAGGTTATAAATAGAGCACCAGTAACTTTGGAAGGATGTAAATAAACAACTTGAATTGAACCCTAAGTCAGTATTTGAAGACCAAACATGAAAGTAAATAGTTTTACCGAGTCTCTAGAAATTCTGTTTGAGTTGTTTTTTTCTTAGTATTATTTTATGTGTGAATGGAATGAATTTTTCATATTATTTTTATGTTTGAAATATTCATTTATAGAGTACAAAGCATATGGGTTTCTGTTTAATAAGAAATCGATATTTTCATCAACGCTTTTTTTGGTAACTCTCCTTTAAGTAATATTTTTAGATATGACAGATGGAACATAATCAAGAATGAACAATTTCTGTTCATGTGTGGCCGGAATTAAGCTCCAGCTGGAAATTTCAAACGTCTGGAATTCACAAGATACCTTCCCAGCTCCACTCCCCATCTGTGCCTCTGTTTACAGCTCTCTTCCATTTTTACTTCTAAAATACTGGGTGTTTGTTTCCTTTGTAGCTCTAGTTAGTAGAAGGACACTGGTCTTTGAGTCTGAATTCTAGTCCTATTACATTCTAGTTTTGATCCTAAGATGATCTTGTTTGAGTTTTAATTTCTTCCTTGGGAGAAAAGAGATGCTGCAGTTTCACAAGGTCGTTGGGGTTGGTTAGTGGATCAGCTCACACAACCCACGGACAGGAACAGAATAGGACATTTAGCACAAGGGTGGCCATAGCATGAATATTTGCTGAATGTATTTTCCTAAATGTGGAATCAAGAATCAGCAGCTTAAAAGAGCTAATGAATTCTCCAATCCATCATTCTGATTTTATAGACAAGAAGACTCCACCCCTGAGAAGAAGAGTGAAACACCAGAGGCTCCAAAGGAACCCAGTGACAGAGCAGGGGCTAAGGGCCAGTACACGGTGTATTTGCATTTACCCCAGGAATCCGTCAAAATGCCAATTGCAAATTAACCTTTCAAAGCATTAAGCAACTTAATTATTTTCCAAAATTTAATCTGATGGTCTGCTGCCAACTCACTGCTGATTCTAGACAGTTCCTTTTTTATAAAGAATAATTATTTGTGTACTTTGGGTTCATTGCTGAGAGAAGCAGTATTGTTTTGGGGAGAAAGGAAAGGTTTCAAATGAGCCAGACATACTCCATGCATATGGAATTACTTCTACATTCTATTAGTATCTTCTTCAAAGTACCCTATCTTGTTCAGTGCCAGTTTAAACAGCACAGTTGCTTTTTCCTGGTTTCAAACTGGAGAAACTTTGAAAGAGAAATTTTAAGAAAATGTTAAGAAACACTCAACTTGAAAGATAGTTGGATGGTATTGGGATTACTACTGATCTGGGTGTCTTAGATCCACTCTTTACTAACTTTGTGATTCTAAGTGTCAGTACATTTTTTCTAAACTGTGGTATCTTCATCAATATCAGGAGATTGAGTATAGTGGCTGTTTCTATTTTGATTCTGAAATACATTATCACTTAAGTTTTGAAAATTAGACTGATTCTAGATTTTTCAGGAATCGCCACACTGTCTTCCACAATAGTTGAACTAATTTACACTCCCACCAACAGTGTAAAAGCATTCCTATTTCTCCACAGCCTTGCCAGCATCTGTTGTTTCCTAACTTTCTAATACTTGTCCTTCTAACTAGCATGACATGGTATCTCATTGTGGTTTTGATTTGCATTTCTCTAAAGACCAGTGATGAAGAGCTTTTTCTCATATGTTAGTTGGTTGCTTTGACCCAACAATTCCATTACTGGGTATGTACCTGAAGGATTATAAATCATTCTACTATACAGACACATGTACACGTATGTTTATTGCAGCACTATTTGCAATAGCAAAGACTTGGAACCAACCCAAATGCCCATCAATGATAGACTAGATAAGGAAAATGTGGCACATATATAGTATGGGATACTATGTGTCCATAAAAAAAGAATAAGTTCATGTCCTTTGCAGGGACTTGGATGAAGCCGGAAGCCATTATTCTCAGCAAACGAACACAGGAACAGAAAAGCAAACACCACATGTTCGCACTCATAAGTGGGAGGTGAACAATGAGAACACATGGACACAGGGAGGGAAACATCACACACAGGGGCCTGTCGGGGGGTGGAGGGCAAGGGAAGGGAGAGCATTAGGATGAATACCTTAAGCATGAGGGGCTTAAAACCTAGATGGCGGGTTGATACGTGCAGCAAACCACCATGGCACATGTATACCTATGTAACAAACCTGCACGTTCTGTACATGTACCCCAGAACTTAAAGTAAAATAAAAATAAAAAAGAAAGTAAGATCGGACCTTTATAATATATAGATAGGCACATCAGAGAAAAAAAAAGAAAATTTACAATACTAAGTGCATGGGGTATGTGTGTATGTGTGTGTACCCTGTTTTAGAATAAACGTTGTTGAAAGACACGTTCATCAGAAGAGCAGTTAGTCTGGAATCATAGTAAAAAAAGTTGCTGAGATAGCGACAGCTGGCCCTTCCGGCATGATATGATGGACAAGGAACAAAAGCCACACTACTCTGACTATACTGGTCTCATCTGTAATGCCTCTACTTTTAGATGGATGTTGGAGGAAGGCCTTACCTCAAGTTATTAAATATCTAGTTTATTTCTCCAGCAGGTAGTAATTCCATACTTATCAAACACAATGCTAGTGATGATTTGATTTCCCATTTAGGTCTGTGGATGAGTCAGGTATTGCCATGCTAATGCTGTATAAAAAAATCGTGCCCAAAACAAGTGAGTTATGATAATATTTATTCGTTCTTAGTCTCATGTTTGAGGGGTGACCGTGGACTGGTTCTTTTAGGCTGGGCTCAGCTGGGTGGCTCTGCTTCAACTTGCAGAGCTGGTTAGAACTGCTTCTTGCAAAATTGATTCCGGTTGAAGAGGCAGCAGCTTTACAGGGAAAGCTCTAATCAAGACTATGCAGGGCACAGATCGCCAACCCAGCTCAGACACATGGGATAAGTCCCTGCTGGTGTCACATCTCCTAATGTCCCACTGGTGAAAGCGAGTGAGTGGACTTGGGGCAGGCAAGTAGACTTCTCTCAATGAAGGTCAGAGGGGAGGGGTGAGTTTTGAACAATATGCAATCTCCCACTGTCTACCTACAGAAATGATATTCTGGTGACTCAGGCATGAATATCTAATTCCCTGACGCCACTAGAAATCAGAAGCTTGGTTACTATGAAGTTAGTATTAAAAGCTATCCTTTTGGTGGCACTTAATCGTTCTCATCTGTCTCCAATCTCTGTCACCACTAAAGGCCAGACCCCAGACTTGTTACATTCATTTGGAAGTGCCTTGCACCATGTGTATATGCTGAACACAGAGAATTCAATTCCACCTTTGGGGGCATCTTCCAGAACTGAATTTGCAATGTGGGTATGTGTTTCCTCTGTGGCTCTGACTCCGTTCTGCAGATATAGGATCTCAGAATACCTGTATGAAAGCAATGAATCACACGAGTGAGTGAACGCTACTATAAAAACATTAAAAACATGAACATGATTATTTTTAAGAGTGAGATCGAATAGTAAAGAATAAAAAAAGATGTCATTATTTTTGCTGGTGTTTATGGAATTTTATAGCTCATAAGTTTGCAAGAATCAAGAACTATTTTTATTGTGTTCTTATGTGCCCATCCTGCTGCCAACGTGAGAAGGGACAACTCTCTTCTGGGGAAGATGAAATTGGGTGGATGGTAGAGTTTGAGTTTAGATTTTCTGGCAAGCATGTTATGATATAGTTTTAAAGAAGTAAGTTTTAGTCATTTTGCTATTTTATAGGACTGTGAACTCAGGAAACATAATGTAACTTTTCTGGGCCTCAATGGCCTCGATTTAAAATGAGGTGCCATTGTATTAAAGGATGTCATATATCCTTCCACCGGTACTGATAGCCTGTGATTTTATTCATCTCAGATAACATGATCCAGTGCCACATTTTGCAGCTCTTATGAAAGAGAAAGCAAAGTAAATGCTGGCCAAAGGAATAAGAGACAACAGCTCGGGTGTCTCTGCTGTAGAACGTATCTGGGACCTTAGTCGCTTATGGTAGTCAACAGAAGCAGCGTTCAGTCTCGCCTGCCTTCCAGCTGCCTCTGACCTTTGTCCGCCACAAACGTGGTGCGCAGCAGGGACAGAAGCCATGGGGATAGATGGCAAACTCCTGCCCGGAGAGGTTGCTACCTCAGGGAAAGCTTGCAGCTCTCTTTAATCTCTCTGTCAACTCATTAACTGTACCTAGTTATCTTTTTTTTATATTAATTCACCTCTATTCCTGTAACTGGCATGTTTTCCATCTTCTGAATGGACATGAAGTAGGGTGAAAATATATATCTAGCAGAGGGTACTGAAGCAGCCATTGATACAAAGTCATACAAGAGTGTTCTTCAGATTTACAGGAGGGAATGCAGTTTTAGGAAGTGCAACTTCCACGGGACTCGGGGGTGGAATTCATGATAGGACGCCATGGTCTACACGTTCGTGCTTGTGTGTGGAATAAACAACCTCTTTGGGGAGCCGCTTCCAAAGGGAACAAAGAGGTGGGCAATAGAGCTGTGATTAGGTTGGAGAAGGAAAAAAAAATCACCTTTTCGAATTTAATGAATAAACCCTTTCCATTGCTCTATATTATCCTCATTTCCCTCCATTCACCACCCAGCCTCTATCCTACCAAGATCTAGTGTATTTCCCATCATCAACTTGCTCTTCAATATGTGTCTGCATCAGAGAGGAATGAATAAACACCGAACGAATGGGTATGATTTTAGGGGAAAAAGGCATATTTGAGCAAATGTGTCCATTTTAGTGAGTGACAAACCCCGCTATTGGCTACCCGTTCAGGTTTTTCATTCGTCCAGTCATTTCGGTATGTGCTGTAAGCCTTACAGTCCATTTTCTATGAAAAATACTTGATAACTGATAAAAATATTTATTTGTATGTCATTTGAATTATTCCCATTGATTTTTTCCTTCTTCTTTCCGTTTCACTTTTGGAATCCTTTGCAATTTCCTCTTAATGTGGAAACTTGTTGGAATAACTGTTTATTTATATTTTAAAAGACCGAACTGTAGCTCTTTCTAACTCATGTTTTGAATCCATTCGGAGAACTCATTCTTTGGAAATAGCTGCGGAGTTGGGTTTCTGCTAACAGCAGAATTTGATTTGCTCTTACACCTTCATGTTTTGTTCAGCGCCCTTTTAAGTTTGGCAAAATTACTTTCAATTATCTCTGCTGCTTCCTTTAATAAGTAGCTTGGAGCAGTTTCCAAGGGCCTCCTCTAATCTTTCTGTGTGAGATCACTCTTGCCTTTCGAAAACACCTTACAAGGAGACACTGAAGGCAACTTGGCACTATTAAATTTTGGTCACACTATCAGCTTGGGAGCAGGGCTTGCTAGGTTAGAGGTAGCACCTGCTTGAAACAGAACTTGGCTTATTTTGGGAATTTAAGCATGCAGCCGTTATAATAGTCACAATGGTAAATGCACCCTGTCCCCTCCCCACAAATTACAGGGTTCATGGTGCTTACAGTACAAAAAGAAATGTCAACCTCTTAGGTGCTAAGAGATCGTCTGAATTGTTTCCTCATTTATTTTGGAACCCACTTTTTTATTTTTATTTCATTTTATTTTATTATTTTATTTTATTTTATTTTATTTTGTTTTGTTTTGTTTTATTTTTGTTCTAAGATACAGTGATACCACGGGGAGAAACTTTACAGGCAATGTATTAAAAAACAAACAAACAAACAAACAAAAAAAACAAAAAGAAGGTGCTGAGTTTGCAGGTGAGGAAAACACATATTGGCTACCTCAAAGTGACAACTTGCTTAACATGTCAAAATTCCACCTCCCAAAGAGCTCAAATGCCCTAGTTGAAATTTTATAAGTTTTATACTTTTTTTCATTCACCTTGATAAGACTGGTATATTTAAGGAAAAAGAACCCAGCATACTCAATTTAATAAGCAGCTACTGGGTACCAACAATTGGATAAATAATTTACTGAAAAATTTGACTCATTTTATTTGTTCTACTTCAACATTTTTCCTCTGTGTCTAAAAACGTCACTGTATACTCCCTTCTCCTTCAGTGTAAGAGAAAGACTAATCTTCTCTCTAAGACCATGCTCTTCATTTTTAATATTGGCCACTGCCACTGTCCTTTCCTGACTCACCTCTGGATCCAGAAATTAGCCCTCTCTTTCAATATTTCCTTCCCTCTGGAATCCCTCTCTCCCTCTCTCTGTCTTCTTCCCCCATCCCATCTCCCTGTCTGTCTCTCTGTCTCTTCCCCGCATCCAATTACACTTCTCTCCCTTATCCTAAAAAATCCATGGAATAAGCTAAGAATATCTAAAAAATGAAAGTCAAATAAGCATCCCCAATTACCCACTCAATGTTTTCTGCATTGTCTTTTTTTTTTTTTTTTTTTTTTTGTGGAATGCTAGAAGATTGTATTGAGGCTTAGTAGGTGAGCTTAAGAGACAAAAATGACTATATATTTTTTTCTAAGCATGTTGTTGAGAATATTATTTATCATAATACATGGCATTTTAGAAAAGACCCGTATGAGAGAATTGTGGTTAGTTACACTGATAATGGTTATGCTGTTTCCAAGTAATTTATTTGTCTTTCTTATGAATGATCTTATGAAAATAGTTCCTTTTTCTTAGTGACAGTTAAATGCTCAGGACTCAGTGTGCAGCTTACGCATACACAAATATATGCACTAAATGATATACACTGTTTCATTAGACTGTAATAAAACAGGTCTTAGCTTCATTTCATGATATTACCTTTTCTCTGATTTGTTTAAGACCAAAGTGAATATCAATAAAAATATACAGTTTCTCTTTCCCTTCACCATAAAGTGACAGATTACTTCCTAGTCATGGCTTAACAATTAGCTTTCTTTGTAAGTCCTTTAGATATTTTTATCTCCACAGATCTTGAATTCTATGTTCTCTCTCTCTCTCTCTCTCTTAAGTTCCTCTATCTTTGGTTCCTGTAGTTGTCTGGGTTTTTGTTTGTTTGTTTGTTTGTTTTTTTGTTTTTGCCTCAATGATTATACCTCTTTCCATATCCTTACTTGTCTTGTTTGGCTCCTGTCTATATTTTGTTATTAATCTCATCCATTTTCATCTTACTAGTTACTTCAATGGGAATAGCCTACAGATATTATTCTCAGCCCATGTCTTTCTCCCATAGCTCCAGTCCTGTATTCCTAGCTATCTCCTAGGTGCCCTCATTTGAGATCCTGATGATACTCAATTATTGATCAACCGAACTCTTTATCTTCTTCTATTAAAATAAAAAAAATAGAGATGGGGTCCCACTATGTTGCCAGGTTGGAGTGAGGTGGTTATTCTCGGGCCTGATCGTAGTGCACTACAGCCTGGAATTCCTGGGCTCTTGCAATCCTCCCACCTCAACCTCTCAAGTATCTGGCACTATGAGCTTGCATCATCATGCCTAGCTCAGAATTCACTATGTCCTCCTGCAAATCTGTGCTTCCTTGTTTGTTTATTTGTGTTAATTTTTCTTAACACTCATCCTACATACAGATTTCAGGACCAACTTTGACTTTGCATAAATTCTGCCATTTAATTATTTCTTTCTCTACCCAGCTCTCTATTCTTTAGCAAATTGAGAGCCTTCATTAAGTTACACAGTGGCTACTCATCCCCTGTCCTTCCTCATTTACACATTGCTGCTAATTAACCATTATTCAATCATGAATAAATGACAGTTGCATGGCATCCTGGGATGGAGCTGGACATGAGAGTCAGATACACCTGGATCTGAGTCCTCACTCTGGTTCTTGCTAGTACAGCTAAGTCATTTTATCTCACAATATAACTTTAAGTTTGGTTGCATAAGCCATGATGGGGTAGGTTACGCCTAGTAACAAATCAGTGCTTAAAACAATTTTTTCTTTTGTATGTTACATATCCGACATGAGATGGTTGGGGATTATGTCAGTGAAAAGGGGGCATTGTGTTGTTTTGCAATGACGATTAAAGGCTGTGGGCCAGAAGCAACACAGGTCACTTCTGTACCATTTCCTTGGCCAAAGTAAATCACACTACTGTGGAATGTTAGTCTGCTTGGGCTGCCACAGCAAAATACCACAGACCTAACAGCAGGAACTTATTTTCTCAGAGTTCTAGAGGCTGAAGGTCTCCAATCAAAGTGCCAGCCAATTCCATTGCTGGTGAAGCCACTCTTCTTGGCCATGTGTTCCTCTTCTTAAACACCACTGGTCCTACTGAATTATAGTTCTGCCCTTGTGACCTGGTTTAACCTTAATTACTGCCTGAAGATTCTATCTGCAAATATGGTCACATGCAGGATTAGGGATTCAACATGAATGTGAGAGGACACGATTCAATTCATAGCATTCTGCACTCCCCAGATTCATGTCCTTGTCAGGTGCAAAATATATTAACTCCATCCCTAAAGCTCCAACATTTTAAATCATTACAGCATCAACTCTAAGGTCTAAAGTCCAAAGTCTCACGTAAATGGTATCTGAATTAGATAGGGATGAGAGTCAAGGTACTATTCATCTTGAAGCAAAATTGCTCTCCAGCTGTGAACCTGTGAAACCAGAAGGGTTCTGTGCTTCTGATATAGTTTGTCTGTGTCCCCACCCAAATCTCACGTGGAATTGTAGCTCCCACCATTCCCACAAGTTGTGGGAAGGAACCAGTGGGAGACAATTAAATCGTGGGGGCGGTTTTCCCCATACTGTTCTCATGGTAGTGAGTCAAGTCTCCCAAGATCTGATGGTTTCATAAGGGGTTTCCCTTTTCACTTGGCTCTCATTCTCTCTTGTCTGCTGCCATGTAAGATATGACTTTTGCCCTCCGCCATGATTGTGACACCTCCCTAGCCACGTGGAACTGTGAGTCCATTAAACCTCTTTTTCTTTACAAATTACTCAGTCTTGAATATGTCTTTATCAGCAGCGGGAAAACAGACTAATACAGCTTCCAAAATATGATGGCAGAACAAGCATGGAATAGACATTTTCATCCCAAAAGAGAGAAATAGGAAGGATGACAGTTCCTAAGTAGAAGTAATACCTCTCAAGGTAAACTCCATGAGTTCTTAGGGCTCAGGAATACTCCTCTTCGGATGCTCTGCCCTCCAGGCCCACTGGGGTGGTCCCTGATCCCATAGTTATGGGTGGTGGTCTGGCTCTCAAGGCGCTGCTGAGGGCACCACACCCAGGACTCCAGGCAACAGCAGCTTCTTATGATGAAGGAGGGATAGTGGCCCCAAGTTTTGAAACTGAGGGGCAACCTTGGTGGTTTCTGAATTGCCTTTGGAATAATTCGTTTCTTTTCTTGGAGAATAGCACACGTAGACACCTGAATAGCATCATCATTCTATTGTCTGGTCCTGTGGAAGCTAAGAGGGCCAAAAGGCTTCTGTCGTCTCCTCCTTTCTCTGTTCCCTTTGATTCAAAATGGGCATTTCTCTGCTGGTATAAATCCACCTCTATTCCTAGATATATACTGATATGTGATTAGATCTATGATTGAACCTATACTAATCTCCATACCAAATGATTGTGTCAACATACCCTTAGTGTTCTCTTCTGAACACACTTTCTCTCCTTTTTTTTTTTTTTTTTTTCTTAACATGGATAGGCTGAGAATTTTCCAAATCTTCAAGTTCTGGTTCTTTTTTTGCTTAACAATTTCTTCAATTTTCTCTCTCTTTTTGCATTTTACTATAAGCAGTGAGGAAAAACAAAGCCACTCCTTGAACGCCTTGCTTAGAAATATCCTCAGCTAAGTATCCAACTTCATGGTCTGCCTTTTCTACATCCCACAAAACAGTAGAACGTGAACACAATTCAGCCAAGTTCTTTGCCACTTTATAACAAGGCTCATCTTTGCTCCAGTTCCCAATCATGCCTTCCTCCTTCTCTTTCAGACCTCACAAGAAGCACCTTTCATGTTCATATTTCTACCATCATGATGTTCATGATTTTTCATAGTATTTTCTAAGAAGATGTGTGCTTTCTGTCCATGTCTCCTCATTTCTTTCTGAATCCTCACCAGCATCACTTTGAATGCTCATATTTCTAACAACAGGCAATCATGGTAGTCTAGGCTTTATCTGGCACACTGAGCAACTTTCCTCCAGCCACCACCTATCACCCAGTTCCAAATCCATTTCCACATTTTTAGATAGTTGTTATAGCAGCATTCCAATTTTAGTACCAAAATCTGTATTCGTCAGCCCAAGCTGCCATAATAAAATACCACAGAGTGAGTGGTTTAAGCAACAGAAACTTATTTTCTCACAGTTCTGGAAGCTGAAAGTGCGAGATCAAGATGTTGGCCAATTTGGTCCCTGGAGAGGGTTCTCTTCCAGGCACGTAGATAACCACTTATTCCTACAGGCATTTCCTCTCGGCATGTGTGAAGAGAGAAAGAGAAGTCTGTCTTGTCTTTCTTGTCTTTTTTTTTTTTTTTTTTTTAAATGGAGTGTCGCTTTTGTCACCCAGGCTAGAGTGCAATAGTGTGATCTTGGCTCACTTCAACCTCCGCCTCCCAGGTTCAAGCGATTCTCCTGCCTCACCCTCCCGAGTAGTTGAGATTACAGGCATGCTCTACCATGCCCAGCTAATTTTTGTATTATTAATAGAGACGGGGTTTCACCATATTGGCCAGACTGGTGTCGTGCTCCTGACCTCAGGAGATCCACCGGCCTTGGCCTCCCAAAATGCTGGGATTACAGGCGTGTGCCACCATGCCCGGCCTTTGTCCTCTTTTTGAAATGACAACAGTCCTATTAGATTGTGGCCCCACCATTGCAACCTCATTTAACCTTAATTATCTTTCAAAGCCCTATCTCCAAATACAGCCACATTGCGGGTGAGGGCCTCAACGTAGAATTTTGAAGAGACACAGTTCAGTCCATAAGACATGGCTAACTTCAAATGGTGGGAAGACTATACTGATGACTCCATCGATCACAGGCTTAGACATATAATTAAAAGGGATATATGTTATGTCTGAGCAGTAGCTGTGCAAAACATTGTGTTCTATTCCCTCATCTAAAGACTGACATTGTTCTGCTAGAATCTTCCCCTTCAGCCTAGAATAGAATTATGTGGAACAGCATTTCTGCTGAAGGAATTGCTATATAAATATAAAATAAACTTCTGTTATTCTAAGCTACTGAGATTTGGGGATCATTTCTTATCACAATACTACCCAGAAAAAGTTGACTAAGAACTTTTAACAATTCTCAATAGTACTTACAGTCATAGATGTGGGCTACTATTCCACAGCCAGAGTGGAGGTGTTATAATCTGTATGATTCTGCAAGGAATTTTGTAGCAGTTACCAGATTAATCTTTCCTCATCAGAACCATGAGTATATAGATTTCTCTGCTCAAACCCTAGAATAGTCTAGTTTTCTTAGTCTTTTTCAATATGTTTTGTTTTTACTTTGACCACTTAAAAATTATTATTAACCTCAGCCATTGACTTTATGATCAAATTCAATTGATATTTTAATGACTTCAGTTTCTTTCTTTGCAATTTTGTAATCTTCAACATTTTTTCCTAAATACGGTTTCCAATCTGTGTCCTTTAAGGCCCCCTTTGCACTGTTCTTCCCTTCTTAAAAAGTTGTTTGATCCCTCAGGTACAAGACAATGTGCATGACTCAAATTTCAATAACATTGTAACTATATAACTGTCATCAGAGACAGCATTTTATTATGTAACTTATGAAGATGTCTATCTCTTTGAGAGAGATTCTGTGCATAAAAATATTGGCAGAACCTTGAAAAAAGTTAAGGACACTTCACAAATACTGAATACAGGAACAACTCTACATCCCATGTTGTATTAGATACTAAAATAGATAGGATCTCTTAAAGTATCATCCAAAAGTAAGCAACATTCATTTTCTATTGCATGACTGCCTATTGAACAGAGTCCCTGTGCAAGCCACACAGTCCATCGTAAGAGTTTGTTAGCTTACTATCAAATATCAAATGCATGCAGAAGGAAGACGAAGTAAGTGAAAGATCGTGACAGAGTTATTCAGCTAAAAGTCAATGTGAAAATGTGATGCTGACATCCTAAACTTCATTCAAACTTGTACTGCCTAGCATTTTAGATCAGATGTATATCATCCTTGTTTTTTTTTGTTTTGTTTTGTTTTGTTTTTGTTTTATTATACTTTAATTTTTAGGGTACATGTGCACAATGTGCAGGTTTGTTACATATGTATACATGTGCCATGTTGGTGTGCTGCACCCATTAACTCATCATTTAACGTTAGGTATATCTCCTAATGCTATCCCTCCCCCTTCCCCCCACCCACAATAGGCCCCGGTGTGTGATGTTCCCCTTCCTGTGTCCATGTGTTCTCATTGTTCAATTCCCACCTACGGGTGAGAACGTGCAGTGTTTTGTTTGTTGTCCTTGCGATACTTTGCTGAGAATGATGGTTTCCAGCTTGATCCGTGTCCCTACAAAGGACATGAACTCATCATTTTTTATGGCTGCATAGTATTCCATGGTGTATATGATTGTATATCTAGAAAACCCCATCATCTCAGCCCGAAATCTCCTTAAGCTGATAGGCAACTTCAGCAAAGTCTCAGGATGCAAAATCAATGTGCAAAAATCTCAAGCATTCTTATACACCAATAACATACAAACAGAGAGCCAAATCATGAGTGAACTCCCACTCACAATTGCTTCAAGGAGAATAAAATACCTAGGAATACAACTTACAAGGGATGTGAAGGACCTCTTCAAGCAGAATTACAAACCACTACTCGTCCTTGTTTTTAAAATAAATATTTTTCTATAAGTGATTCCTCCCATGTCATTAATTCATACACCATATATCCCTTTTCTGGACTTTTTATTTTTGGGAACATCCCAATGCTTCCATCTCTTATGCAGATGTGCTTCCTGCTCCTCTTCAGGAGTCCCTGCGTCTGCCATCAGCTTTATTAGTAGCTTCTTTGTATTGGAGGCAGAAGTTGGGTCTGCTATTATATAAGCTCTGGGGTTTCAGAAATATATTGCCTCTGTTCTACTCATGAGTTCTCAACTTATTGGTCAGTTGAGATTCAAACTCTCATCAGTACCAGGGGTTCATTATTTAAATAACTTCTTCCAGATGCCAGTGAAGAACATGTAGGCATCGGACTATGATTAAATCCAACATTGAAGGTTTCAGCCCAAGATAAGGAAAAACAAGACAGTCTTTTAGAAATGGGCATCACACAGTAGTTTTGAAAATATCATCCACCCACCTATCCATCCATCTATCCATCTAAAATTGCATCCATACATAGCATGAGAGAGCATGCACGCACGGGAGAGGGTGATTTCGATGCAAACACAGACATACACTCATTACTCTTAGGAGCACGAAGATGTACAGAAAAGCCACTGAATAGCTTACATTGTTATGGACACAAAGCTGAAAACAATATAACATCATAGGATGATCTTATTCATGCAAAAAATCATTTACGTGACAGAGAAAGAAAAATCCACTATCAGAGTTCAAGATTTAACACACTTTTCTCAGTGACTTGAAAATAGAGATTAAAAAATATATCTATATAGATTTGAATAACACTCACAAGACTACCCCAGTAAATAGATACAAATTCTTAAATGCACACATAACATTTACCAGTAGAGACCATATGCTGGGCACTAAAACCAATTTTAATAAATCTCAAAGGTCTGAACTCATACCAAATATATTCTCTGACCACGATGGGCTTGGGTAGGAAACCAGTGACAAATAAAATGTATTCGTCTGCTTGGGCTGCCATAACAAATTACCACAGACTGTATTGCTTGAATGGGAGAAGTGTGTCTTGTCATAATTCTGGAGGCTGGAATTTTAAGATCAAGGTGTAAGCAGGGTTGTTTTTATTGGAGACCTCTGTCCTTGGCTTGTAGCTGGCACTTTCTCCTTGCGTCTTCACATGGTCTTCCCTCTATTCCTGTCTGTGTGCAAATCTCTTCTTCTAAGGACAACAGTCATATTGAGTCAGGGCCTACCCTAATAAACTTAAGTTAACTTAACTACCTTTTTAAAGAACCTATCTCCAATTACAGTCACCTTCTGAGGGACTGGGGATTAGAAGTTCTACGTATGAATCTGGGGAGAATGCAATTCAGTCCATGACATAACTAGGAAAGCCATACATACTTAAACATTCAACAGTGCATTTGAAATAGCTTTACAGGTTAAGGAGGAAGTAACATGAACTATTAGAGATATGTTGTACTTCCTAATAATAATATTAACAACATCTCAGAATTGATGAGTCACATCTTCAGGATTGGTAAGAGAGGTATTCATACCTTTACATGCTCATATTAGAAAAGAAGAACAGTTCCAAATTTTAAAAAATTTAATTTTCCACGTGAAGAAACTATTAAAATAATAAAACAATAAACCCAAAGTAAATAGAAGAAGCAAAATGATAAATACATGAGAAAAAATGGAACAGCCAACAGATGAATGATAGAGAAAATCAACAAAGTCCAAAGTTGGATATTTAAAAATGTTAATAAAATTGACAAATCTCTAGCAAGACTAGTTAGGATAACAAGAGAGAAAAGGAAAATAACAGCAATGTGTTTTAATGGAGAAAGAAGAATCTATTCAGAAAATGTTGCTAGATAAACTGGAAATAAATATGAAGAAAAATATTGTTTGTATCTCACATCATACCTAAATATAAATCCTAGATTGAGTGTTAAAATTAATTATTAAAAATGAAAACTTTCAGGCACATTGATGGCATAGTAGAATATTTCTGCAATCTTGCAGGAGGAAGATTTCTGAGACATAATGCAAAAGGCACTGAACGTCAACAAACAAACAAACAAACAAAAAACCCACAGGGGAAGGGGTGAGAAACTACATTTCTTAAATACTTAAAACTCATGCTCACCAAAAGTAACCATTATAATGGATTAGGCAAGCCCCTATGTGGGAGATAACATATGTAATACATGCCTATCACCCGCATTCACATCCAGAATACAGACATAACACCTACAAATCAATAATAAAAAGCAAACAACTAAAAAGGGGCAGACATTTTTGGCACTACAAAAAAAAATTGAATATCCAAATGACGAATAAGCAGATAAGAAGATGCTCAACATTATTATTCACTAGGAAAATGCAAATTGAAAGCATAAAATGGTGCAATTTAATACCTATCAGAACAGCTAAAATTAAAAAAAAAATAACAGCATACAGGCAAGGATGCAGAACCACTGCCATTTGCACACATTGGTGTGGGAGTTTTAAATGTTACAAACAGTATGGAAAACTGTTTGGTATATATTATTCTCATAAAGTTAGACAACCTACCTTATAATCCAGTAATTCCAATCCTTATTTATTCACGGCCCCCAAATGAAAACATACGTTCGACTAAAAACTCATACAAGCATATGCTCCTTATAATAATCTCCACCTGGGAGCAACTCATATATCCTTCAGCAGGAAAAATGGTTAAATAAATAGTATGGTATATTTGTACAATAAAATACTACATAACAATAAAGAGGAACAGGTTCCTGATACACTCTCTGAAGCACAGAAATATTACATTGAGAAAATCATGATCTTTATGTGAAGTGTAAGAACACTAAATCTAGGGCCTGGTGCAGTGACACACCTGTAGTCCCAGCACTTTGGGAGGCTGAGGTGGGAGGATTTCTTAAGGCCAGGAGTTTGAGGTTACAGGAAGCCATGATTGCGCCGCTGAAGTCCAGCCTGGGCAACAGAGTGAGACACTTTCTTAAAAAAAAAAAAAAAAAAAAAAAAAAACAGTACATCTAATCTGTGATAGCAAAAATAAGCAAATAGTTGTACCTGTGACAGGAGAAGGAGAATTGGCCACAATGAGAAATGAGAAACAATATTCTCCATCTTTATTGAGATTTTGATGACATGGGCGTATACAGTTTTTGCAAATTATAAAATCGCATACTGAGATGTAGGTATTTTACGACACATAATGAAATATTGATTTAAAATAAGCATCATAATGTTTCGCTGGTGAGAGGTCTTGGATCAGAATGGGTGGGAAAAGGCCCGAGGAACATAAAAGGAGGGTTTAGTCTCCGAGAACAGGTGGAGTAGGTAGACCTGTGTAAAACCAGATAAGGACTCACTGATTGAATGACAGCAGGGTGGAGCCTACGTTTGTTCAGTGGGTTTATCGTGATATTAAGCGAACCAGCCGGAGTGAAATGGAGACGTTCTTAAGGAGTTTTGGAAAGAAATACTCAGCAAGAACCACAAGTAAAAGTGCTCTGGTAGGAGACAAATGATGCTTGAACATGACCTATTTTGGGTAAATTAGTAAGATAAGATTATTCAGGGACGCTTTTTCTAGGAGTATTTTAGTTTGGAAATCACAACAGCAGAACATATTCATAGGTCAGTGACGACTTGGGGTCTCTTCATCACCACATTTTTGCCATCAGCCAACCTTCTGCCCACAAGACATCTTTCTCAAATAGACTCCCAATTTTAGTAAGAACAATGAGCTTTATAAGTAAGTGCAGAATAAGGAAGTCATTTTTGCAGCTTCAACCCAAATTCCTGAAGTGGAACTCCTGTTATTTCGAAGTTCTCAGCATCAGTCCACAGCTGTGGATTCTGAGCATATTATCCCAGGATATATGGAAATGACAGATCTTTCTGAAGTTCAGCGAGATCGTGGAGTTTTATCCAATGTTACTGAAACCTGTTCAGGAATACCGGGAAACACAGACGCTAAAGAAATCCGTGCGAGTTGCATTCCTCTATTTTTGAAATAGCTCAGAATTCTCAGCGTCATTTCAACAGCATGATTTTAAAAGTCTTTGAAACTCAAAATAGAACCCTCTCCAAATTGCACTGAATCAACGGATTCTATTCGTTCCAATCTTGCTAAACTTCACATCCTTGGAAATGACTAATGGAACAGATACCCCAACAATATCAGCAACTCCATTTCTGAATTAGTGTTTTCCAAATTTGGAGCCCTGGAGGTCTGGGACTATTTTGGACGTCCTAAGGATTTTCTCTCCAGGTGGTGGAGCAGTCCCAGGGACTCCAACGTAAGAGGAAAGAAAACTTTTTTTCCTGGGATCTTGTAGCATCCGCTGGACATGTCTTAAATAATGACTGCAGAGGCCTATCACTCAAGAGAGAGCCACAGGCAACTGAACAGTGTCTCAGAATTAAAGTGATTTGTTTGGGGAAAAAAATCCATACCATGGTGCAATGGATGAATGAATAAGGACATCAATGAAGAAATCAATCATCTACACTTGTTCAACTATCCATATGGCTTCTTCTTTGTCCTACTGTGAAGTATTTTCTCTCACCTTTCTCTTCAGAGCTACATAGCGTTCCTCCTCCCTTGGCTACTCGTGACCATGACCCCTTCATGTGCTCCAGATTCCAGCTATTCTACCACACTAGGTTCTAAGCACCTCTTCCTGGCTGAAACTTAGCAGTGCCCGCGAATTAGGTTCCCCAGCAACCCAACTCTGAGACAGCAATTTGCCTGCAGTCTTTTGACTGGAGAGTGCTTCCAGAAACTGCCTCTAAGTTAGGCAGCTGGCAAAGCGCACAGAGGGGAGTTGGGGGATGTAAAGGGGTCTGGAATGAAGGGGAGTATGAAAATCTATCCATCCTCTATGTTTTTTGTTCAAGCCTGAAAACTAGATAGTGATGATAACTAACTAGAATTGGGGGAAAACAGGGTCCCGGAAATCATGGTCAAGGATTTGAAAGAGCCACCTCAGGGGATAGAAAACAGCTAATCAAGGGCTTGTGAAATTATACTGAAAACTCTCAGTAAAAATTTAAAAATTAAAAATGGGAAAAAAATCTACAAGTGTGTAGAAAAGTGACTCAGAAGGTTTATGTGATTTTTCTTTAGTGCTTGGCTGGAAATAACTGGAGGAAAATAGCTGGTATTATCTGAGGCTGAGGCACGTGGCTCAGGTGCTGCAGGAGTCCAGAGGAGAAAGGAAATACAGGGAGAGAAAGGAAATACCTGTAAGAATGGAGTTGAAATTATTCAGCCAATAGAAGTCTCAGGATTGTTTTGAAATATTTCAATTCAAGGATGACTTTCAATGGAAACCTCCGTTTTCAGTTTTCTCCTGGCATTATGGGAAGTAATCTGAAAGCCTTCAGAGATTTATGTAGAAGATGGTGTTTTAATAAAACCACAGTGATATATTATCTGTTTTTTAATTAATCATAATGGAACACCCATACAGGCATGTGGTGACTCGGAAAAAGATTGGAAAAACATCAGAAGTGTAGTATGCAATATGCTAAACTTTTCAGCATTTTGTGTCTTGTTGAAAGGAAATAATTCTCTAAGGGAATTATTAAAACACATATATAACATAATATGAATCATGGACGCAAAATGTCAAGGAGAACCTTTGTATGTGCTTTAGGCAGCTAAGTTTGACGCCAAGCAGAAATAACCATTCTTGAAACTTGGAGTTATCACCAGCAGTGTATATGATACAGGGCTATGAAGCCTCTGAGATATATTGGTAGGCCTAGAAATTTGTAGGTCAATGTCTGAGTGTAATTGGAAGAAATCACATTCCAGTTATGACCCCAGCCAATTAGGAAAGGTTGTGAAAGTTTGTCCTAGGAGTGTGAAATATTAGTAAGGCTGCAGAAATCACTATAAGCCATGGGCAAAATACAGACTAAATTCAGCCAGTTGTGTTTACCTGAAAGGCTAAAGGAAGATGATATAGCCAGTATTCACTGACTGCACTGCAAAGTCATGGGATCTATGTGCTCCTGCTGTTGTCTGCATTGCCCCTTGGTGCTCAGACCATGTCCTGTGTGTGCTACCCTGGCATAGTTGCTGTAGAATTTCATTTACTCTTCAACTTTATGAAACTTACTGATATGTTCTTCATCCTAACATGGTGGGTTTGGTTTTGTTTTTAGACGTTTCATGTGTATTTGAGAAGGTGGCATATTCTCTTTTATCTGAAAATAAAGTTGGATATATATGAATAAGATTTACTGAATTGATTTGGTAATGCACACTGCCCATATTCATACTTATTTTTAGTTATTTTGACCTGTGCTGGATTGAGGGTGATGTGTTAATCTCTTTAATGTGGGTCTTTTGATGTTTCATTTCTTGTTGCATGTTCTGCAGTTTCTGTTTTATGATGGTGGTTTCTATATTATTTGGTGCATAGATGTTTTTCAACATTGTATCTTTATTGTGAATTAGGACCTTTTAAATAAAGTATTCTTTATTTTAATTTTTACTCATTTAAAGATTTTTGGCTTTTTACCTTGTCTTTTGCAACCATGCTTTCTAATTATTTGCACTTGCTCTGTAATACCCGTGCCCATTCATTAACTTTTGTTTTTTCCAAATCTCTTTGCCTTTAGTTGCATCTCTTCTCTACAGTACCGTAGTTAGACTTCTCCATGCAAAACAAACTTAAAAAAAGTTCACTTTTTCATTTACATTTATTTATAGATCATACACTTTTATGTTTATTGTACATTTTTGTTATATTAACTATTTTTTCTTTATTAGATCCTTATTTTTTTCATTACTTACTGTATTTTCAAAGTTTTGAATTTTTGTTCTAATGATTACCTTTAAATAATACTTTATATAATGGCCTTAGTCTTTTGTTCCTCCTAACTTCACCTTTTGCTATGTGCTTTTCAGATGTAAATAATGTCTAATAATTACTGAGGTAACAATCAAAAAATTTAATTAAGTTTTTTGTCCTCTATCATTTGTTTAATTTTGTTGCTTTTACTTTGTCTGACTATGCTTCTGCTCTTACCTCATCATTGATCTGCTTTTAGATCCATGCTGGGTGTGTTCAGCACCCAACAATTATCTGTGCTGAAAGTTCCCCAGCCGCTTTTTGCTTGGAAGAAGCTCACCCTCTAGGAGATTCCTCATGAAGAGTTCTTGAGTTCAGTATTTCCTGAATTCGTACATTTTCAAACCTTTTTAAAAATAGATTCATACTTGAAGGATGACTTAATAAATTGAATACTTGGCTAACTCTTTTACTCAATTTCTTTAAAATGTTGCTTTGCTTGTATTTCCCTATGTTGCTTTCAAAAAGCCTAATGAAAACCTGATTTTATTTGTTTGGTAAATGACTTAGTTGTTTTGTCTGGAGGCTTAGAAACCTTTTTATTTTGAAGTCAAATAAGCATATTTAGATTATAGCTTGGAACTGACCATTCTAGGTCATTTTCTTAAATATCTGGCGGACTTTTCAATATTGAAATTAATGTATTATTTAATTTTTGAAAAGTTTTATGGGATTAGAGTTTTAAGCATACCTTTATATTATTTTATTTTGTCACTCTTCAAAGACTCCAATTATATTGTATCTTCTTTACTTTTCATTTACATCCACTTCTTTAATACTTTATCTGTATTTCATTATTTCAAGCTTATTTTATCGCCTATGTGCATTCTTTTGGGGGATTGTGTAACTTATTCTCTATCTTAAAGCTGACACTTTTACTCATTATTTTTGTTTCATAAGTCCAAGTGTCCCTCAATTCACATCCTGCTTTTTTCTAAGGTTTTACATTTCTGTGGGTATTTTTTCCCATATTCACAAGCAGTTGCTTAAGGATACTTAATTAAGGGTACGGTTATCTGTAAGTGTTTTCCTTTGTTTTCTGTTTGACCTTTGGGGAGATTTTTCATCAACATCAGTTTCTTTTATTGCTTTCTTTCAGTAGCTTTATGTGGAAATTTTCTGGGGCTTGTTATTGTGTGTTATTTTCTGTTGCTTGAAACATTTTGTATTTTAATGTGCCCATGAACAGGGTGTGGGGGAGATTTTGGATGGCTTTTACGTATGTTACTCTGAGAACACCCTCTTTTATTTGTGGATTAGCATAGAGTTTCCATAATCCATGGGGCCTCCTGTTTGTGTGGAAGTGGTTAGTGTGTCCTCTGATTTACAATCCCCTGTGGTTTCTGTAGCCCTGTTTTCCTACTGTTGCCTTCTTTGCCATAAGCCTCCCACGATCACCTCCCCTTCCAAGTCGCTTTACTGTCACTTAGTTTTGTCCTTCTAAGATGGTCACCCCTTGTTCTGCACATTTCCAAAGTCCTCCCCTTTTTCACAGTAGCAAGTTCTCTGCTCTACAAGGACCCAGACTTGTTCTCAGTATGCACAGTGGGACCCTTTCTTTCTAAAAGCGGCTTTCTTTGTGTGCTGCCCTCTCTGAGCTTCTGGTATTGAGTTTTTGTGGAGAATATGTGCATGTCTTGAACAATTTTGTAGATGTTTTCTTGTAGACATACACAATATTTTCTCTAGACTATGTACCAGGGTGATATTGGCCCTTACGTGGAAAAGTATGTCCTGATACAGAGTCATGAGGGTTTGGAATTGGTTGAAAGATGAATGAGGGAAGGATTACTGAGGAAAATTATCAGTGAGGGAATGAGAAGAAACAAAGAACTCATCAAATCTCTTGCTAGTACAAAAGCAAAGTTGCTGTTTACTGTCATGAGGGAACATACGAGAGAAGAAGACATTTGTACAGAAAAACAAGAGCTTTGTTTACACAAACTTTGAGAGGCTTGATAGCCATCCAAATGGAATGGTTTATAAGAAAAGGGAATTGGCTACGAGAATAGACTTCAGGAAAAAGTTTGGGCTACAATTATTAAATAGTTATCTGAATGATATCAATGTATAGGTAAAAGTTTAGTCATGGCACTGATGACATCACCTAGCATACCAGAGTCCAAGTGAAGAAACTTTGTTCACCCTGAAATGAGCTGCCTAAGTGAAATGGTGTGATTGAAACTCTGATTGTAAGGCTCAAAAGAAAACAGGACCTAATAGTTTGAAGGTGTATGTTTGTCAGCTATTTTCACAATGCTGCTGCATCACAAATTGTCTCTGAACTCACTGGCATAGAAAATTAGCATTTATTTCATGCTCATGAGTCTGAAGGTCAGCTGAGATTCAGTTGATCAAAGCTAGGCCCAGGTAGGTGGTTCCACTTCAAGCTCTGGGTCCAACTGGACTTGGCTTCTCATTGAGGATTGGGTTTTCATCTATGCTACACGAATTCACCATGGGACCCAGAATGAAGGGGCAGCCATGACCTAGTGACCCAGAGGCACCCCTACTCCTGTAATGCCAGGGCATAGGAAGGCCAGAAGGAGCAAGCACAGACATTTAAGGAATGGGCTTCAAACTGGCAGACTGTCCTTTACATCCACCTTCCACTGGACACAGCAAGTCACATCACTGAGATCAAAGTCAAAGGGACAGAAATGCCTTCTAGCTTTAGTGGGAATAATTGCACAACTCCATGGCAAAGGGTAGAGGAAAAGCTTCCCCAGCATGGAAATGCAAATTCAATATTTACTCTGTATCTCCTTGGAAATCACCCAAAGCATCCAAGAGGTGAAACATACAAAACAAAACAAAATTAATAAACTCCATTTTTAGTGCATGAGGAGACAGCTAAAATGCCAACCTCGACTCTAGGTAAAAAAGTGGCCAAAGCTCTGGAATCCAAGAACAGATGCATTTAGGAGAAAACAGAGATAATTTGATGCAGAGGCAATTTGGTGCAGAGAGAAGATGAAATGATTGCAAATCTCAGAAATAGCTGATTGTATGGTACTTCTCAAAGGACAGGACATGCTGAGGTGAAAACTAAATTCCTTTTTGTAATGGTGACAAGAGAGCATTAGCTTTTGGCTAGAGGTTTTCTCGTTTTGGGTTGGTTCCATGGAGCAGAGAAAACAAGGCTAAATCGGACAAAAAAAAACTCAGAGGAATTGAAGGGGATTCTTTGCATTTCAAAAATACACATGCTTTTTACTACCCCATTTGGTTGAGTAGAAGCAAGTGTTTAACAAACTCACGCATAAAACCTGACCCATAAGAACAATTTCAGTTGGCCAGCAGTCTCAGGGGGCCCCTCCATGAAAGTCTTTCACAAATATTTGCATCAGGAAAACTCACTCCCTTCAATGCTGAATAATAAGAAAGTGTCTGTTCTAGGGTCTGTAATGATGTTTATGAATCAGAGGCTGAAAAAATCCCCTCTTCACATTTCTCAACTCCCCCTGAGGGCATAGAGAAACGTGAAGTAGGGATTTGGGGTGCCACAGTGGCTGAGGGGTGCTGCTGGTATTCAGTGGATGTGACACAGGATTTTTCTTGGCTTCTTTTTCTGGCTGGCAACGCCCCTGCCCAGGCCTTGCTCGGGCCTGGGCTCACTGGAGGAGATGCCCCATCTATTCCACGCCTTTCTTGTGCTCCAGCATGGATCCCATAGCCACCACCATGAGGGTGCACTCGGCCCCTGTGTTCGGTGGGTCCCAAGTTCTTGTCCTGTGTTCAAGGAGAATGAGGTTGTGCTGACAATTGAAGGGTGAGGAGGGCGGAGAAGAATTTTATGGAGTGATGAAACAGCTCTCAGCAGAGGGTGGGTGCGAGGGTGGTCCCCCACCCAAAGTGAGCTGGTCTCTCCGTCAGTGTGGCTAGGTCTGGGGCTTTTATGGGCTCAGAATGGGGAGGGGGTGCTGATTGTGAGTATGCAAAAAAGGCTAAAACAAAGGCACCACTCAAAGGCATGGCAGTGTAAAAAAAAAAAAAAAAAACAGGGAAGGTTAGGTATATGTAAATAGAGGAAAACATGCCAAACGGGAAAAGGGGTTCTCAATCCTGTCTGTGGATTTACCCGAGACTTGTAGCTAGGCTTTAAACTGTCCTCGGCTTGAACATCAGGTTTCGTTGGGGCCCGCGCCAGTCTGCCTAAGATTGTCTGCCTCCTGCCACTGTCAGATGGCCCCAGTAATGGTAAATATCCCGCAGGGACCATGGTGGTGCCACTCATGTAAATATTGTCCCCTCAAAATGCCAGCAGACCCTTTTGACGAACATTGACGTGATTTTTCTAAAGAAGAAAACAATACGCCAACACAAACAAAAAATGACCAAGAAAGAGCTCTCTCCATAAAAAAAACTAGAAAGCAATTGTAAGTCATGCCTAATTGTGTCAAAAACATCTCAGCAAAATACTAACAAAATAATTTTTTTTGCATGTACGTGAAATAAGAACACCAGGGCAGAATGCAACATTTCAGGGAAGAGATGGCAAAGCAGTGGGAAGAAATTAAATTTTAGCTGCCAGAGCTCAGGAAACAAGCAGAAAGCAAAAGAATCAAAAATAAAAACAATAAAGGCATTATTGGAAGAAAAATAAGAAAGAACAGATATTACTGAATATCCTGTGAAAGATCAAGGGGATTTACTTGAAGGAAAAAATCCTTATTTATAAGAAACAATAAACAGAAATAGATATCTGAGCACATCTGTCTATACACAAACACAGACACATGCTCATAACACCCCAGCGAAACAGGCTGCTTGGCCATTTTAAAAAAATCTATAAAGCAGAAAGCTTAAAATAATTATATAATAGATGTAATACCAACATATACATTCAAATGAACAGAGATTAACAACCCTGTCTGTGAAGTTGTATGAACCATTTTAAACAGAATAGCCACAAAGGATGGAAATAACAAATGGGCAAACATATACCAGGCAACTACCAATTACATAAATATATAGAAGGAGGTAGGTGGATAGAGAGATACAATAGATAATAGAACAACTTAATAGAGGCCGTAATCTTATCATAAAATAAGGACATCTTTAGGCTAAGAACCACAGCTTAAAACAAAAAAGCACTAAAAAATGTCAAAGGACACATTTCATAATCAAAATATAATATGTATAGTTTTTAAATTATGAACTATCATAGCATAAATGTTTGTAAAGCAAAAATTACAATTTATAAAACTAGAAGTAAATGCACAACAACTACCGATGTTGTGTTTCCTCCTTTATTTTATGAGAGCTTGAGAAGTGTCTTCACCTTAGTAGCATGGATAGATCCAATTGTATTCTCAATGCTACAACGCAGACACCTTTTTAAAAATGTCTATTGATCATTTACAGACACTGATCACAAAACCCTTCAAAATTTCTAAACAGTAGCTGTATTGTCTTGCTAAAAAGGGAAAGGAAGACATAATTTTGTGTAAGTTTGGAGCTCTCTACTCCTTGTAATGTTTTGTTGAATTCATCTGCAAATCCATCAGAGAATGTGTGGGAAGTTTTACATAATTATTAGCTCAATTTTGTCAATGGAAATAAATGTATTCAAACATTCTATTTCTTCTTGAGCCAGCACTCCTGTGATTTTAATTTATTTGATATCCAACAGGAAAGAGTAGCCTTGTATTATTCTACAAAAGTCCACACATGCATATCTTTTAGCGGAACAATAAATGCGGCCATACCGGAACAGAAGTTAACTCTTGAAGTATGTTTCTCAATACCGATACCAGGAGGATCTTGCTATGTAAAAACACTGTAATAAGTTCTCCTGAAGAAAGGTAGTATATAACTTCACACAGTGTTTTAGGTTTGCAACCAGGGTTTTTGTCAACTTCCTGTAACAGTTTTCATCTGAGAAAATCTGTCCTTTTATTTATGAGCAATGCTTTATCTGTTATATTTTCCTTTACTATCAGTCCATAATCCTTGAAAAATCTATCTTCCTCAGTATGTCAGTTTGGACAAAGAACAATCAAGTAATAGATATTTATTGGAAGTTTATTTTGTGTTTAGATAATGGATATAGTTCTACAAAACAACACCCTGGGAAGCTGCAATGAGTGGACATACATCTAAAGGTAACTAACAGTGCAGCTGAGCCTGTGCTGAGAGCTGAGGAATTGCTCAGACAACAGATGCTACATTTGCAGCAAGGGAGTGGAACTACACTCTGGAGTATTGGGAAAGGCTTCAAAGATAAGATGGTATCTGAATAGAAATTGAATAAATTTCAGGATAAATAAAGTACTTGCTGATTCTGTTCTATGTTTTCAGGAGTCCTTTGTGATTTACAAAGAAATGTTAAGAAACAAGTTTGTTTCCTTTACTTGAAAAAAAATTCTTCAGGATAAATGTAGAAGTTTTTTTGAAACAACTAGAATTGTGACATTACTTGGGAAGCAGAGAGAGAGCTAGATGGTGAAGTTGGAGAAGAGGATAATGATTTCTCTTCTGCAAGTCTAAGGGAAAGGAGATCACTCAGAAATCTGGGAGGAAGGGTTCCAGTCAATGTTGCAACAACCTAAGAGGGACACACGCTGTCCACTGTCAAGGGCTGGAAAGTCTGCCTGCCCCCTCACACACCATCTTTATAAAATAACACAGTGAAATCTTTAAGGGGAAGCTTCCCAGGACCAAGCCCCTGGAAACCATGTACTTGTTGATCTGTGGGAAGAACACACATGATAAGTCTAGAAAAGAAAGCTGTGGGAGAGAGAAGTAGAATTTTTAAGAAAGTAAGGGCCATTTAAGTTAAAAAGAAAGGACATTCTACCTAGGGATAAGATTTTCTGTCAAAAATATATATGAAGAATTCGGCCAGGGCATTGTGTATATTTAGATTATATTCTCTAATTTGCCACCTATCCAGATTTTTAGTAATGTGTCTGTATCAGAGTGTCCTCCAAACATAAAGTTTTATTTATATGCCTCAATAGAGCTAACACATTACGAACATTTCAGCTTTATTGAAGTATAATTGACAAATAGAAATTGTATACGGTCATCCCCTCTTATCTGCAGGGGTACATTCCAAGGCACCCACTGGACGTCAGTAACCATGGATAATACTGAACCCCATATATTCTGTTTTTCTGTACATACAGACCCATGATAAGGTTTAATGTATAAATTAGACATAGTAAGAGATTAGCAACAACAATAATAAAATACTACAATTATAACTGTACTGTAATAAAACAATTATAACTATACTGTAATAAAAAACTATACTGTAAAATAAAACAGCACTGTGAATGTGCTGTTTTTCAAATTATCTGATGGTGCTATATTGAGTTCATCTGTTTTTCAGGCTGTGGTTGACTGTGGGTGACTGAAACCACAGAAAGCTAAAACACGGATAAGAGGGCGGGGGCTTACTATATATTACGTTGTACAACCTGTTGTTTTGATATATGTATATGTTGTGAAATAATCACCACAATCATGCTAATTTATACATCCACCACCTCACATAAAATAACACATTTGCTAATGCTAATATTTCCTTTCCTTTTTAATATTAAACAATTGTGATTCTTATATTAACTGGCTTTTAACATTTTTTCTTATAAAATTGTTTCTTTTGCAGATAGTTTCAAAAGAGATTCTAATTTAAACTATGAAAATATTTGAACTCCAATAAAATAAACATATTTCTATTTTTTTTTTTTTGTTTTTGTTTTTTTTTTTTTTTTTTTTTGAGATGGAGTTTCACTCTTGTTGCCCAGGCTGGAGTGCAGTAGCACGATCTCAGTTCACGGCAACCTCTGCCTCCCGGGTTCAAGCGATTCTCCTGCCTCAGCCTCCTGAGATAGCTGGGATTAAAAGCATGCACCACCACACCTGGCTAATTTTGTATTTTTAGTAGAGACAGGGTTTCTCCATGTTAGTCAGGCTGGTCGGGAGCTCCCAACCTCAGGTGATCCACCAGCCTCTGCCTCCCAAAGTGCTGGGATTACAGGCGTGAGCCACCGCACCCAGCCAAAATAAACGTATTTCTATTTTAACCTTATCTAAGAATACTTCAAAGTGATGGAAAACATAAAACATGCTCATAGTTTGTTCATTATAACTAATAGGGGATAAAGAAACAGTAATACATTTTCCTGACACATTATGAAAGAGAAGTTCTTGAAGCAAAAACAAATAGATGACTACAATATTCTTTGAAATAAAAATTTTATTTTTTTTACTTTATATTGCTGAAAAATCATATGAATACTAAGAAAATGAATTTTTATTCATGCAGAACATATGGGAAAGTAAAAGGACAGGAGATGAGACAAATCAAAAAGGGCTTTAAAACTCTGGGGGAGCTAGGCCGGGCATGGTGGCTCATGCCTATAATCCCAGAACTTTGGGAGGCCGAGGTGGGCAGATTACGAAGTCAGGAGATCGAGCCCACCTGGCTAACATGGTGAAACCCCATCTCTACTAAAAATACAAAAAAAAAAAAAAAAAATAGAACACGAAACTCTGGGGGAGCTAAATATTGATTGGTAAGAATGGAATTCCCTGCTTTTCAGCAGAACAGTCTGAGGTGCTTTGCAGAAAGTTCTCATGAAGTCATGAAAACTTTTCCCAGCCTTAATCTTATAAAGGGGAATCTGAGAAAAAAAAATCAGGTCTGATGTGTAAGGAGTTTAACTTGATGTTTTCTAGCATAATTTACTCCCCACTCCTTTTTATATAGTTGGATCCTATATAAGGTGTGAACACTAGATTTTAAAGTGCATCCTTCATGACGCCATATAGCCCCCTCTTTGGGAGACATGGTCGGGTGGTCAGTGCTCACAGTAGCCCTTCATTCCTTCCCACTGCTCGCCTGGATGAGGGAGACGTTTCCCTGGCAGCAGTTAATTACTGTGGGTAACTGAGTGCTCTCATATGGGGCTACAGGATCAAGAAGCTCAAGTTGCATGTAACTCCTGTAACTGATGGGAAGGGTTGGAGAACCTGGCATAGAACAAGCCTGGGATCAAAGGACCAAAGGACGCTGGATGCAAGACCACAGCCAAAGCCCAGCCTCGGCAATGGGCTGGCTAACATTCCTCTCGCCACATACACACAAATGAAAACTATGTCAGGTGATGGGCATGTTCATTAGCTTGATTATGGTGGTTGGATCACATTCTGTGTATGCCTGTGTGTGTGTATATATATATATGTATATATATGTGTGTATATATGTATATATATGTATATATATAATTTTGTATAACAAACAAATAATTTTTTCCAACAAAGCTAAAAAAAAATAATAATAATTTCTTTATTAGTATTACTGCTACTGCTGTTTGGGGACCCATTACTGAACACTGGCACTGAAGACTCCAATGAGCCACTCTTTTTTGAGTCACAGGTTTGATTTTAATTCCATCAGCCAAGACTTTCCCCAGATACCAGGAAGCATAAGAAAAATAGTCTCTGCCACTGTTCCCTGTGGCTTCTTGAGAGAGGCTGTGTCCTTTGTATCTTGAAGTCATACATATTGGGATATTTCCCAAAAAGAAAAAGGAAATTTGGATGGTAGGCATTCAAAATGATGATAATTTTATCTAGAAACTATTAAAAATTTATGTGCAAGATGCGCCATGATGTGATTTGTATTTTAAAACTTCTCTCTCTCTGTATTATAGACTATGAATGGGAGTGGAGGTTTACCAGAGGTAGGGAGGTGAGATAGACAGTTATTGCTGTTGCTTGAGAGAGACAGAAAGTGGTCCTGAGCTAACCAGATGCAGGTTAAGGCAGAAGGTGTCGAAGAGGAGGTGAATTAGGTAAGACCACTGGTTATAAAGAATAGAAATTTACCAAGGTTAAAAAAAGAATGTATTGACTGTGGTGTTCCCCAAAAGGCATAGAGCAGCAAAACCATAGTGAAATAAAAAGATGCAGGTGGATCTTAGGTAGAGCTGGAACCAGAGACTTGGATGTGATGATTGGCATCTCATTTCCCTTCCCACCTGCTCTTTTCACACCAGCATCGTTCTTCCCCACTGCACAGCTAGAAGTTTCCCAAACTCTCATCCCATAGATTTGCATGCAGAAGTCGACTGTCTTCTTTGCTTCCAATTGAGAAAATCTTGAGGAGACTCAGTCTGGGTCCTGCATGAGTCCATTGCTCACTCGTGCAGCAATCTCTCGAGTCCAGAACATTGAGATCCTGTGTGAACGTGATGGTCGGAGCTGAAGCCACCGGGCTGGATTAGAAGAAATGCAATTTTAACAGGCACAAGACCTTTATGATCTGAAGAGAAACCAGGGTATCGAGATGCAGTTTCCAAAAGAAAAAGAATGCCATTCTTGAAAGACAAACTATTAGCAGGCAAATGAGAAGTGAATGTCTACTGTGCATAGCAGATGGGGGAGTTAACAAGAATATGAAGACAGCACTTACCTGTCAAGGCTGGCAGAGAAGTTTCAGTAGTGTTAGCAATGTTAAAATGTACAAGGTACACTTAATTAACAGTTGATACTGACTGATGACTGATGTAATTTTTTTTTTCTTTTTTTTTGAGACAGAGTCTCGCTCTGTCTCCCAGGCTGGAGTGAGGTGCTGCAATCTCACCTCACTGCAACCTCCGCCTCCTGGGTTCAAGCTATTCTCCTGCCTTAGCCTCCCGAGTGACTGGGACTACAGGCATGCACCGCCACACCGAGCTAATTTTTTTTTGTATTTTTAGCAGAGAGGGGGTTTCACCATGTACGCCAGGATGGTCTCAATCTCTTGATCTCGTGATCCGCCCACCTCAGCCTCCAAAAGTGCTGGGATTACAGGCATAAGCCACCGTCAACTGATGGAATTTTTATTGATAGATGATTTGTGGCAATTAGATAGGTATACCTTCACTATTCAAGAGAGTAGACAGGCAGTATCTGAAATATTAGAAAAATATAATCCTGAGATTTAGGGTAGAATTAGGACCTTTCATACAGATAACCCCCTACTCTGACTTATGAACCAACACCCCTTTCCCTGTTTTCCTGAACATTGCACCAAGATGGTTACTAGAATTTAACCTCAAAATCTTGATGCTCTGGTCAGTTCTAAAGGACACAAAATTTCTCCTAGAAAACCTGGGTGACAATTTTCAGTTGACTGCTGCCAAGGGGCTCTCCCCTTGTCTCTTCTTTCTTTCACCATTGCTCTGCTCTGCTGCCTGGGCTCCTGTGATTAATTGTCCACATCCCATGCCCTCTGGCTTTCTCCATCATTAGGATGTCATGTAATATAATACAACGCAATGTATGTAGATGACTGGCTTGGGGTGCATGGTCATGGCAGGCTGGAGCATCTTTTGTTTCTCTCATTCTTATTTGGCATCTTAGGATAAGCTGTAGACCCTAATGTTAATCCTTTATTTATCCCAATGGACATCTTGGTTTCTCAAACGAAATAAGATTCTTGGGACCTCTCTGACATTATAGAACTCCTAAGGTAAGCATGCCTGCACTATGATTATTGCTGTATAAGAGCAAATGAAACTGTAGTCAGTTATAAGCTATGCAAAATGTGGGTTATACGGTTTGAATTATTCATCTGGAATAGATCTTCAGTGTAGTGAGTGATGGTGTACTTGACAATAAGTGATAAATAATAGTGATTTTGATAAATTCTCTTGGATAGATGGCTTATGGCAATGCATAAACAGTGGGAAAGCATCTCATTTTAAATTGGGATCACTACCCCAATACAAAATAAACAGATGCTATGACTCAGCAGTTGCTGTTAACAACAAGAACCCAATATCCAAAGCAAAGAACAATGATTAAAATTCAAGAGCAGCAGCTCTGCTTGGTGCTTGGAACATAATTTCAGTTAGGAACAGAGCGAATCAACAATATTATGGAGTTTGTGACCTTAGTCTATTCTCTCCAGTGGGAGACATGGGGTTTCATAACCCACCTGCTTATTGATACTTACTTTGGGAAAGCCAAAATGCCGATTCCAGAGAAGGTTCAAAAATGATTGTGGCATTTATGTCTTAAAAACATTACAAGCTAGTGAAACAGTCCAGGAGCACAAAAACAAAACTAATGCACCGTGCTTAATATGTCACTGAGTTCTCTGAAACTAATAGAAAATGATCTTCTGATTTTTATGTGTTTTCTTTTCCTCTGAATAACAGGCAGACTATAATGCAAGTCCTTTAATAAATACATTAAGAAAAAGACATGCAATTTATGGTAATCAGTACCAAAAGTTGATATACTCAAATCATCACATTGCATAGGCAGCTAGCTGGGTTAATTTAATATCTCAGCAACTTTCTCTAACAGAAATATTAAAGATCTGTTAAAGAAATAGTCTAGGAAATATTTTTTCTCTTTTTTCTATCATATTTCTTCTTTTTAATGCTGTACCTCTCTTATAAGTTTTCTGTCTCATCTCCCACTAGAACTAATGATTATTCCCTCTGGGTTGTCCCACTGTAGTATGTTTTTGTGATAAGAATTGCTCACTGCCTTGTATGGCAAACCTACTATGCAAAGGTTTGTTTCTCCTATGCCCAAAATTGAGTTTGTGCTCCACCTGCCCTTGAATCTTTTGATGCCGATGGGTCATCGGAGCTAATCATTACCACCATGAACTACAGTGCACTGCCCTCCAACTTTGCGCCACTCACGGAGATTCAATATCTAGGCTGGGACATCTGGTCAACCAGTCATAGGTTATGAGTTCCTGCTTCTGGGCAGAGTCAGAGGGATGTCTCCATTTATTCTCTCTGCTGGAAGGAGGGACTCTGCCTACCATCATGATTCACACAACTGAGACCTTCAAAACCAGAAAAGAGTGGTAGACTGGAAGATGAGTCGTCAACAAAATGTCATGTTATCTATAGAATGTACTTGCTCAGCATGATAAATAATGTTGGCTTAGTAAACTTCATACAGTCAAATTCATACATAAGAGTGAAACAATTGGAGATGTGTTTGCTAAATCAGAAACAATGAGAATATATTAATATAGCTTAACATTGTTCTAGAATTTTTGACATTGTGATAGGGCATGAAACAGTAACAATGGAACCATTTATGATAAATCTAGAGCCAGAATTATAATTTTTCGATGAAAAGCTTGGTAATAGCTAGAAGCTCGTAGAGAATAAATGAAATAGAAACATGTTTAGAATTACCAATAAAGTTTAGTTAACTTGCTAAACACAGAATAAATATACAAATTTTTTTAAAAAAGTTTGCAATTAGGCCGGGTGTGGTGGCTCACGCCAGTAATCCCAGCACTTTGGGAGGCCGAGGCGGGCAGATCACGAGGTCAGGAGATCGAGACCATCCCGGCTAAAAAACGGTGAAACCCCGTCTCTACTAAAAATACAAAAAAATTAGCCGGGCGTAGTGGCGGGCGCCTGTAGTCCCAGCTACTTGGGAGGCTGAGGCAGGAGAATGGCGTGAACCCGGGAGGTGGAGCTTGCAGTGAGCCGAGATCCCGCCACTGCACTCCAGCCTGGGTGACAGAGCGAGACTCCGTCTCAAAAAAAAAAAAAAAAAAAGTTTGCAATTAGTGAATGCGATTCAGGAAGAAGTGCTTCATTCACAACAGCAACATATATAAATGAATAAATTACAAAATGAAAGAATATTTCAAAAGTAAAAGCACAAAATTTAAATAAAAACAAATTTTTTTATAATGACAAAACATCATTAAAGTATATGAATGTGTTTAAAAAGAAGAATCATAATATGTATCTTATTTTCAAATCAATGAATACCCACAATACAATACAAGAATTTTAATATTATTACTTTTGAAAACTTGACAATATAATCTCAGAATTAGTTACAAATATAGACATACATGTAGACTATCAAGTTAGCTAGATTGGGACTATTGTTACGTTTGTGTCTCTATTGCTTACTGTAGTGTCAGGTAGTAAGTTTACAAATAATAAAAATTTTAATGATAAAAATGTATGAAATGTAGGTAATGATATATATGTTTTTTGCAAACACCACAGTAATAATTGCTACAAATCAGAATTACTCATAGCTGCTAAAATTTAATGGGTGAAAGTAAGATGAGAAACAGGATACTTGGATAGCAGTTAAATCCCTTTCCGCAAAAATCTTCTAAATTATCAAAATGAAACATACTAACCTTCCAGTGGAAAAATCTGTAAGATTCCATCTTAACCTAGTAATCAAAATTAATATCAGTAAAAAGACATATCAACATGTGCCTCCTGATACAATGCATTTGCACTAGGAAGGGCACAACATCAGTTCTGTGGCATTCTTGCCTAAACATTCATGACTTAAATCATTAAAAAATCATACAAATGCAAAATGAGGGAATTTATTTTTCCTTTTTATTTATGATTGACATTTAATAATTGGTTATACTTATATAAATAAAATAGACCCCAAATTTGACAAGACTTGTCAAATCTTGTCATGGAGATGAATTTATCACATTAAAAGTATTGTGCTAGGTAGTGGAAATACAAAATAAAATTACAAAGACACCCATCCAACCATACAGCCACTTGCTCTGTAAGAAGAAAACAAGACAAGGGAATAATTATGTATCACATGGATTGCAGTCCAGGAGCACATACATTTCTAAGATAAATTGCTGTGCAAGTTGAACAGGACAATAATTTATTATAGAAGACATTTTAGAAAATGAATGAAATTGTTGAGGGATATCTCACTGTATATTTCTGTCCTGAAATACCAGCTATTGGTATTGTTGGTATTTTACTTTTTAGTAAAAATGTAGAAGAAAATTTTTTTTCTTTCTTGTCTCATTTATTACCCTCAATTGTGTACGATATAATTGTGAAAACAGAAGTGAATCCTTTATTGAGTGCTATTCTATTCCAACTGACCCCTCAAGTGTCATAGAAAGAATAATATGTGTGAACATAACCCAATTTTAGAAGCAAGAAACTGACCCACATTTATAAGCAAAAATACTTTTATTCCCCGTAAGTACTCCTCCACATCAGAATTCAGGAACATGACATGTTCTCTGTTACCAGTAGATGGAGGGTATCAGACACGAAATTAAAAAAAAAAATGTGAACAGGTATTTTAAGTGAGGAATTTTAACAGAATTTAAGGACTATTGACTCTCTATTATTTACATAAAAGCGTTTTAAATGATTTGAGTTTCAAGAACTCACATCCAACTTTCCATAAGCTGTACTGGGTTGAATAGTGCCCCTGCAAAATTCATGTTCAGGTTGGGCACGGTGGCTAACGTCTGTAATCCCAGCACTTGGGGAGGCCGAGGCTGGTGGATTACCTGAGGTCAGGAATTTGAGACCAGCCTGACCAACATGGTGAAACCCAGTTTCTACTAAAAATACAAAAATTAGCCGGGCATGGTGGTGCATGACTGTAATCCCAGTTACTCAGGAGGCTGAGGCGGGAGAATCGCTTGAACTGGGGAGATGGAGGTTGCAGTGAGCTGAGATTGTGCCATGCACTCCAGCCCTGGGTGACAGAGCGAGAGCAAGATTCCGACTCAAAAAATTATAAATAGGTAAATAAATAGATAAATAACAAAATAACAAAAAAATGTTCACCTGGAAACTGTGAATGCGACTTTGAAAAAAGGGTCTTTGCAGATAATCAAGTTAACATGAGGTCATACTGCATTAGAGTGGGTCATAAATTGAATGACTAGTGTCCTTATAAGAAGAGGAAAATTTGGACACAGAGACAAGCAGGAGATAATAGGGAAGAAGACCATGTAACAGCGGGGCAGAGATTGGAGTAATGCGGCTGGAAGCCACGCAACACCAAGGAGTGCCAGCAAACACCAGACGCTGGGGAGAGGCAAGGGAGGGCTCATCCCCAGAGCCTTCAGATGGCCTATGACCCTACTACACCTTGATTTTACACTTCTAGCCTGCAGGTGTGCCAGGGAGTAACTTTATGTTGTTTAAGCCACTTTGTTTGTGAAACTCTGTGACAGCAGCCCTAGGGAACTCACACAAAAGGATATTAGGTAATTAATAATAAACCATACTAATTCTAACCATTTTTAGATAAGAATCCATGAGTAATCACTCTGTATTTGTAGATAATGACACCGGTGAAATCTGTAATGCATCTGCAGAAAACACAAGGCGTTGATAGGCCTCCTTCACAAGCCTGCTATACAGAATTCCTTCACTTTTCATGGTAATATAATGACATATATAGGTTATATAGGTTCATTAAGGATCTGTCATACTATACAATGGAGCATAAGTGGGAAAACTAAAGTTTTAATGTGCTGTGTCGGAAAAGTTGCAATTAAAAATAAAGCATATGTGTCCAGGGGTGATAAACCCACCATTAATGACCAGCAACTGTATCTCCTATATAAAAATGATTATTAACTTTTGGGCCTTAGTAGCAACTCAGGATCACATGACCTCAGATTTGTTGACTATAAAGCAAGGAGGCCTATGTGCTTTAGTTTAAACTTTTGACTGTGCTGAAGTTAAAGAAGAAAATGACACTTTTAGAGCAAGATATTGACAATAAAAGAATTGTCCTGGGACTTTCCTTTTTGGCCATGCTAGGTTAAATGAAACTAGATTTGCCCTGCCACTGAAATAACCATGCAACTTGATAAAATACAGCAACACTTTTCAGACACTGAACAGCAAGCAGTACAGGGCATGGTCCTTGACAGAGGAGAAACCCAAGAGGCGAGTCTCATGATTGCCCAGCATTCTATTATGTGTGCGTTTTCCAGTAAAAGCACAGGTTATTTGATCCCAAGCAGCATGGTCGTCTCACTAAATAGGTATAGATATGGGTTCCAAGCTGCTGAATTGATTGGAATTTGCAGGGCATGAAAATTCATAGCTGATCTTTGGTTGAAGACTATGTTGGACTTGTGCAGACTAAGAAGACTCGGTGGCACTTAGTTAAAAGCCCTCAAGTTGAAGGACAGTACCAAAGGCTGTAGAGTCCTTAGAAGCTTCCAGTATATGCAGACTGGATATACGTCTTTGATCATGGCAGACATTCATGTGACATCTCAGAAAGGTCATAAATACCCCTTAGATAACAGTCCTGCTCTAGGACTAAGATCAAAACTCAATTAGGTCCACTGTAACAATGTGTAAAATCAAACATGATAGGAATAAAAGGACCCCCCAGTAATTCAACTGTCTGGCAGAAAAAATACCTAAAATAAGCCAGAATCTCCTCAGCATATTGTCATTATGGCCAGCATGCAATTAAAAATTACTAGACATACAAAGAAGGAAAAAATTCTATCAATTTTAAGAAGTTATCAATTAAATAATAGCAATTAAAGTTTACAAAATTAAACAGTTTCCAATTATAAAAAGAAAGAAACAGATCCCAAGATAACAATAAATGATGGAAATAGCAGCAAGCGCTTTTTTCTCATCTATTTTAGGTATGTTTCATAAGTATGTTCCAAGGCTTACCAGAAAATGTATCCATTAATAGAAAAGAGATGTGGAAACACAGAAAAGAAATGACAACTATAAAAAAGAACCAAATAGATATTTCAGAGTTAAACATGTAATATTTGAAGTGGAAAGTACAATAGTGAACATAACATCAGATAGGATACTGCTGGATAAAATGTTAATGAACATGAAAGCAGTTGGATAGAATTCATTGAAAAAGAAGATCCGAGAGAAGAAAAAAATAATGAGAGAAAAACCAGGGCCTTAGTAACCAGTTGAACTGTATCAACTGCTTTATCACATGGATAATTGAAGGTCAGGAGGGAAGGAAAAAGAGGAGAATGAGCAGAAAAATATATTTTGAATAACATGAATGGACACATACTAAATTAAATTTCAAAAGTCAATGTACAAAACCAAGAAGCTCAACCAATTGTAAGCATAATAAACATAAAAATAAGCAACCTTAGCACATCGTAGTCAAACTGGTGAAAATAAAAGAGAAAGAGAAAATCTTGAAAGAAGCTGAGGACAATTGACACATTTCATACAGGATATAAATAAGGTGAATGAAGTATGACTCCTTATCAGATACAATGAATGCTAAAAGACATATTTCAGTGCCAAAAATAAAAATATGACTCTCAAAACTTATTTATTATTCATTGAAATCATCTTCAAAATTTAGGTGAAATAAATATATATTCAAATTAAAAAGAAAAGATGAGATAATTCATTGCCAGCATATCTATACTGGAATAAATGCTAAAGAAAGTTCTCTAAAATAAAACAAAATGCTACCAGATGGAAAATCAGTTCCAAAGAAGAAATGAAGAGCACTGAAAATGGCAAATTAGTGGACAAACATAAAAGATTGTTTTTCTTAGAGAGAAAGCTGTTTCATGCAAAAAAAAATAACATTTTATTGTAAGTTTAATTCTTACTTGTATATAAAATATATAATAATAAAAACAAAATACTATAACAATAGTAATAAATAATACAAATTCTACTGGAAAAGTAGAATTTTATAATTTCAAGGTCATTACATTTTACATAAGTGGTATTATGACTAAGGTAGAGTAATCTTTAATAAAAGAATATTATAAGGCCTGAAACAAATCTAATAAATATGTACAAAGATGGGTAGCTTGAGGAGAGATTAAAATTGAATGTTAAATTAATTAACAACACAAAAGAAAGTGGAGATAGAAGAACAGAAGGAAAAAGGCAGATGAAGAAAACAAATACCAAGATTATAGACATAAATCAAAACACACCAATAATTGCATTGAATATAAATGGATCTGTCATTTCAATTAGAAGACAGAAGTTTTCAGAATAGGTACATACAAAAGAAACAAGTTCTAAGTATATTCTGTCCACAGTAGACACTTTAAGTAGAAAGACACAAACTAGATGTAAGGTATTGAAATTATTTCATGCAGATAGAAATAATTCTACTATTGTTCACTAATATGAAACAAACTAGAATTCAAAGCAAATATAAGCAAATATAAGGTATTGAAATTATTTCATGGAGATAGAAATAATTCTACTATTGTTCTATTAATATGAAACAAACTAGACTTAAAATATAAGCAGAATGAAGAGGAATATAACGATAAAAATTAAAGGGAGAAATGCAAAAATCTACAAACATAGTTGGAATTTTAATACTTTATCTTAATATTTGATCCCCAAATGATCTATCTGTGGAAGATTTGAAAACAATGTCAACCAGTGACATGCATATAACACACACATATATCTCTATCATTCATATATATATATATATATATATATATATAGTCTTCTGTTATAGTCTTCAGTTATAAGGTTATACACAAGCACACATATGTAACTGAAGACTACACATTCTTTTCAAATGCAAATGAAAGAGTCACTTTGATCATGACTGACCTCATGAGTCATAAAATACATTTACAAATTTAAAAGACTGAAACATCATGGTCATTGTTGCTACATGTAAACCAGCTTTTTAAAAAACAAAGAAAACAAAACAAACATCCTGATTTGAAGTGTTTGCAGTTTTCCATGGCATGTCCACTTTTTTTTTTTTTTTCTGAGACGGAGTCTTGCTCTGTCACCCAGGCTGGAGTGCAGTGGCACGATCTCGGCTCACCGCAAGCTCCACCTCCCGGGTTCATGCCTTTCTCCTGCCTCAGCCTCCCTAGCAGCTGGGACTACAGGTGCCTGCTACCACGCCTGGCTTATTTTTTGTATTTTTAGTAGAGACAGGGTTTCACCGTGTTGGCCAGGATGGTCTCAATCTCCTGACCTCGTGATCCGCCCACCTCAGCCTCCCAAAGTGCTGGGATTATAGGCCTGAGCCACTGCGCCTGGCCCATGTCCACTTTTAAGCTTGCTAAAATTCTGGACATGTAACAACTGGCTTTCTCAAGTCATTACAAGCTGGTTTCAGCACATACAATGAATAGTGTATTGTTCTTTAATTAAAATAAAATTAAATTATAAATCAACAAAAATTAACTATCTGAAAAAGATACAAATATGTGGAGACTGAAAACCACATGTATATATCAGCTATAGTTCAAAATGAATTTATAAAATACGAATATTTAAATAAAGGATAATAAAATATATATATATGGGCAGTAGCTAAAAGTTGAGAAAAAAATTATAGAAAGAGAAACTCATAAAAGACGGAAAATATTTTAAAACAATAATATATTTCTACCTCTAAAAGTTAGGAAAAATAACCAAAGTAATTAGACTTTTAAGCCAAAGTATTTAGAAAAAAAGAGAAGAAAAACTGAAATACATTTTACAAAGGCAAAGTGTAGAAAAAGATAACAACCTCCAAAGTTGATTCTGTTAAAAGATTAATGAAATGTATTTTTGAAAGTCTAGCAAGACTAAGCAAAGGGGGTAAAAGAGGAAAACATAAATGGTCAATGTTGGCAATGATTAAAGTGACAGTACTACAGATACAACAGATATTCAAAAATAATAAGGTAATATTACAAATAACATTATACCAATGACTTTGACAAATTAATAAAATTAACCAGTTTCTTCAGAAATTATTTGAATAGATATATTCAATATCTATTCAATATCTATTCAAATTATTTGAATAGAAATCCAGAAGTAAAATAGGCATAAATCCATTAAACAAATTCGGTTCCCAGTAAAAATCTGCAAAGGAAAAACACAACTGCAGATAGTTTCACTGGATCAATGTATTAAATACTTAAGGTTGAAAAATGCATACACTCTTTTAGGAAATAGAGGATGATAATCTGCTTCTGAACTTATTTTAGGAAGCCAAAAATACTCTACTTCAAAATTCCACCAAAACATTGCAGGCAAAGAAAATTATAAGTCACGATCCTTCATGAACTTAGACAAAAAAATGCATTATAAAATAATAGCCAGTTAAATCAAATGATATGTAAAATTGATAATATGCTAAGTAGAGTTTATTCCAGGAATAAAAGGTTGGTTTAAGATTTGAAAACTAATATAATTTAATAAATTAATAACATAAAGTATAAAAATAATATTATATCTCATTAAATGAAGAAAAATTTTTGACAAAATTGAATTTATTCATGATAAAAACTCCCCACAAACTAGGAATATAAGAAAACTTCTTCAACCCAATGAGTGGCATTTATAAAGCATCTACGGTTAAAGTGAGTTATTAAACACTTTTATTTAAAAATGGCAAATAGTTCAAGAATAACCCTTCTTATCACTTCTACACAACAATATACTGGATGGCATCCCCAGTGAAGTAAGGCAAGAAAAGTGTTATGTACACCTGAAAGGAGACATAAAAATGTCTGTATTTAAGGGTGACATAAATTTTTTAGAAGATGATAAAGAATCTACAAGTAAATTTCTAGAGCTAACTGTGTAAATACCCAAGGCTTATTCATATTTGTTTATGCTGGTAGCAAATGAAAAATAAAATAAAATTTACAGAAAATTGCATGAAGATGCATAAATATTTAGAAATATAATTAAAGTGCCCCTCAATATTGAAAATGACAAAACTGTAAAGCATTGATTAAAAAATTAAAGAAAACTTCAAGAAACGGAAATGTATACCATGTTCATGGATTGAAAGATGCAATAGTTTTATAAAGTTGCTCTCTCAAATTAATCTATAGATAATAGAGAAACCCTAACAAAATCCCAGAAGACATTTTTGGAGAAACTGAGACATTTATTATAAAAAATATACAGAATATCAAAGGGCTTGGTATAGTCAAACAAGAAGAAAAAGAACAATATTCCTGGTTTCAATATTCACTCTACAGCCATAGTAATCAAGACATTATATTGGCATAACACTTGCAAAATATCACCAGAACAGAAAGTCCATCCAGAAATTGACCCATCATATAGCTCATTTATTTTGACAAAGAAGCCAACAGAAGAGAAATTGGTACGTTTATTTCCCCTTGACAAATATTTCTAGAACTCTTGATTGTTCATACAGGTAAAAAAAGCAACTGAAAAGTCAACTCGCACTTTCCACAAACATTAATTTAAGCTGGACATAATGTTAAACCTAAAGCTAAAGCTATGAAGTTTCTAAAAGAAATGAAACATAATATATCTTCCTTACCTTAAAAAAATGCAAAGCTTTCTTGAAGAACACCCAATAAACACCAAAAATAAAATAAAAAAATAGTAGTCAACTATACAAATACAAGGCTGACATATCCAGTATTGAGACTTCCTGGCATTCCGTGTATGGTCACTTTGTATGATAGTTGATAAACTGAAAGGGATCTCAAGGGAATTGACTATAAGGATCTTTGATACCATTATCTAATGACCATAAGCATTAATTCTTTAAAATCTTTATTTGAATATAATTAACATTAATAGAATTCATCTATTCAACATTTACAACTAAATGTTTTTAGTATGTTTACAGAATTTTGCAATCATCAGCTTAATTTAATTTTGATTTTTTTCATCATCCCCAAAGAACTCCATACCCCTTAGCAGTCACTCCCTATTCGTTCGTCACCTTCTCCAGCCCTAGGCAATCATAAATCCACTTTTTGTCTCTAGGGACTTGCCTATTCCAGACATTTCATGTAAATAGAATTGCACATTATGTGATCTTTTGTGACTGGCTTCTTTTAGTTAGCACACTATTTTGAGATTTTACATACTATAGCATAGATGAGTGTTTCATTACTTTTTATTAATGAGTAATATTTTATTGTATGGATGCATCATATTTTATTTATCCATTCATCAGTTGATTGACATTTGCTTTCTTCTGCTATTTGGCTATTATGAATAATGTTACTGTGAACATATGTGTACAACTAAGCATTGATTTTCAAATCTGGTTTTGAGGAAGTCTCAGATTGAGTGACTTTTGAGCCCACTAGACAACATACAGGTAGAAAACTTCAAGTTTCAAATTTGACACCACCTTACTGTATGAATATAGGTAAGCTACTTCTTTGAGCTTTTTCTTTAAAAAAAATTAATCTGAAAAATAAAAAAAATGGATATAGAGTCCCTTAAATTAGATGATGCATCTAAAGTACCACTCTTCTGTCTAAGGGGATCTCAATAAATGACAGCTCTAATTATATGTGTTTTTCTTTCCTCTTAAATTCTTTTATTCCATTCAAATCCTTGCTGGTGAGTTGAAAAAGTAGGAATCAGGAAAAATATCCGGGTATAAACACCATCTTAACTCTTGGGCTTCATTTTGCTGCTCTGCAAAATATAGGGATTGGATAATCCTTAAGGTCTATTTCTGGCTTTAATATTTTAGGATTTAAAATGCATTTAAAATTATTTTCTGCAGACATCGTAGGTGAAGGTTTGATTATTTCTCCAGGGTCATGTAGCAAAACTGTTGCAGAGTCAGCATTTGAATTTCGTGGTCTTTTATTCAGGTCTCAGCTTTTTGTGTTAAAAACTCATTCTCTCTAAGAGTTTTACCAATGACTACAGAGTAATTTAGTCAACTTCCTAGTGAACCAAAAAACGCATGTCAAATGTATTAATATTTTGTGATCGTCTATAGTTTCCAAGTCTTCTGTCTCTTATGAACTGGTAAGAACTCGTTTATTGTTTTGGTCTGAAGTCGTTTGTTTTGCCATGGTTCTAGAAGTATTAGAAACACAATGTTCCTGCCTTATTCACGCTTTTTATAGTTGCAATGAAAGTGTTAATTTCAAAGTTTATTTTTACTTAAATCGCTTTATAAAACAAACTCCATCTAGTCATTTACCCCCTTCAGTGCTTAAGTTCCTGTATTTTATGTGCCAAATACATTTGCAGCTCTTGAAGTTATGTGAAGGGTTTGCGATAGTCTCACACATTTAATATGCACTGTGGACATAGTGCTGATCAGTTGCTCATTAGGTGTAAACAATTTTAAATTGGTCTTCTAAATATTCCACAGTTTCACATGGCTGTGTTGCTTTTTTTGCGTGTGAAAATCATCAGCAGCTTAAGTCTCAAAATTTCAAACTCCACTTAGAGATGACATAATTGCATCTCGTTATTATTGCAGTATAATCAGAGGTATTGTTTCATAAAATGCTTTTGTTTGGATGCTAGCGGATGATTTTAATAGGTTTCACATGAGAATAGCTAATTTGTTGCATAATCAGGTCCTGCTGGAGGTGTCTGTGTATGCCTGCCCTTGGGAATCTAGAAAATGGAAACAGCCCTTAAAAACAAGAGCCACACTTTTGATGATACCTTAAAATACATAGTCAGAACGCACCACTAAAAGCCATAGGGACACGCATGAAACATGGAGAATGAGAATGTGTTGTTACACAGTGGCAATGCTGGTACTCTGTGAATGTAATGTGAAGAACTGCTTTGGGAAGTGGCTACTGCCTAACACGTTTATCAGAGACAGGTGTGTTTGGATCCCAAGCAGTAAACAGCACCCAGCAAGAGTGGCTCCAGAATCCTTGCTTCATTTCTTGACCAACGTCCGACTTGGCCCTCCTGGGTGTCTGCAATATTATACAGTCATGTGCAGCTTAACAATGGGGATGTGTTCTGAGAAATTTGTCCTGAGGGGATTTCATTATTGTGCAAACATCACAGAGGGTACATACACAAACCTAGATGGCTACTGCACCCCTACACTCTGTGGTAGAGCCTATTGCTCCAAGGCTACTAACCTGTACGGCATTTGCCCGTACTGAATACAGTGGGCAATTGTAACACAATGGTAAGTATTTACGTGTCTAAACATAGAAAAGTACAGGAAAAACACAGTATAAAAATTTTAAAAATGGCATACCCATATAGGGCACTTACCATGAATGGAGCTTGCAGGACTGGAAGTTGCTCGAGGTGAGTCAATGAGTGAATGTGAAGGCCTAGAACTTAACTCTACACTACCGTGGACTCTATCAATACAGTACGCTTTGACTACACCAAACAAATAAAAAGATATTTTTCTTTCTTCCATAGTAAAGAAAGTTTACTGTAATTTCCCCTACCTTACTGTAATTTTTTTACTTTATACACTTTTTAAAAAAATTATTTGATAGTTTTATAACAACACTTGGCATAAAACACAAACACATTATACATTTGCGCAGAAGTATTTTGTTTCTTTACATTCTTATTCAAGAATCTTTATTTTTTATTTTTTACTTTTTACAATTTTGTTTAACAGCAAGACACAAATACATGCATTAGCCCAGGCCTACTCCGGGTCAGGATCACCAATATCACTCTCTTCCATCTCCACATCCAGTCCCACTGGAAGGTCTTCACGGGCCATAACACACATGGAGCCATCGTCTCCCATGATAATAATGCCTTCTTCTACAACACCTCCTGCAGGATCTGCCTGAGGCTGTTTTACAGTTAACTTTTTTTGTTATCAGTAGAAGGAATACATTCTAAAATAACAATGAAAAGTGTAATATAGTACATACATAAACCAGCAACATCGTCTTTTATTATCATTATCAAATATTATGCACTGTACATAATTGCATGGGCTATACTTTCATAAAACTGGCAGTTCAGTAGGTTTGTTAACACAAGCTTCACCATAAATATGTGAATAATGCCTTGCACTACATTATGAGAGCTATGATGTCACTAGATAACCAGAATTTTTCAGCTCCATTTCAATCTTATGGGACCATTGTTGTATATGCGGTCCATTATTGACCAACTTGTCTTTACGAGGTGCAAAACCGTATGCCAGTAAGGAGCTTGGAACCCCAGAGGGCACAGACTCAGTCTTCCTTTCGCTAGTTACCCTTTCAACTTCAGGTACAGAGAATTCCTAGTAGCAAAAGGATGGCTAATTTTATCTGTCAGCTTTGCATCCTTTCTAGTCAACACCCCAACCCTTAAATTTCACGTGTGTTTATGAATTTTCAGTTTCATAAAAGTAGTAGAAAACATAAGCACCTTTGTCCCAAATATGCACAGATAGTTCTTTGACAGGCAGTAGAGCACAGCAGTTGAGGGCAAAGTCTTTAGAACTCACACAGCTGTGATATATAAATACATATATTTTCATAGTCTTGGACCTCCTTTGAATTTTACTTACTTCCTCCATAAAATAAGGCTAATAATATAGTCTTGAACATCAAATAGTGTATCTCTGGGATTTAGCATGGTGTCTGAGAAATAGTAAGCAGTAGATATTTTCTCATAATCTAATCTACCAAATCTCAGTGAATGACACCACCAAATCTGTAAAGCTGGACGTCCAGCCTGTCACCTCACCCTCCCCACAAAGTACAAACCTTCAACAGAAATCTCATCGACTCTAATTACAAAATCTGTTTTGATACATATTGCATCTTTGACTGTTCCTCATCCCTAATGCCACTGCTAGAGTCCCAGACATCACCAGCTTTGGCCCGGACTCCTGCAAACACCATGTGCACACCGGATGTTCTTCAGAACCTCCAACCCTTCCTTTACACAGCATCTGGAGAGATCTTCAAGTCATGGTAACCACATTCTATCCCTGCTGGCATTTCTTCAGTGGCTCATCAGTTTATTTGTTTAAGACTCCACATCTTTAACTTGCTCTACCAGGCACTACCTACCATTCCTCACAGGTGTTTCTTCAGTTTGGACCCCATAAGCTTTTCCCAATATGAATTGTTTTCTAGTCATCTTTATTGTGGTCCCTCTAAAAAACTGAGATCTTTCATTTCTTGAGGCTTTCATACTTACATAAAGTTTCTTCTGTCTGGAATGCTTGTCTCTCTACTGTTTTGTTTTATATTTTTAGAAATCATATCATTTTCCTTCAACATTGTATTTTGGAAAATTTCTGACTTGAAAAGTCACAAGAATTGTATAATAAAGTCCTACATACCCTTTATCTAATTTCACCAAATATTAGCATTTGCACCATTGTTTATTTCTCTCTGATGCGTGCTTACTGTTTTATGTAAGAAGATTGAATTCTGTTATAGAAGAGAAACATACAGATAAAGATAGATAAACCTAAGTATAAAAGCAAGTAGCTCATGAAACACATTACACATCTGTAGGGAGACCCCCTGAAACTATTACTATGGAATGAAAGATGAAATGCTTCTGATTATTGTAAATACAAAATTGCATGCAGGATTGTGCAAAGACAATGCCAGGTTGGACTGCCAGAACGAGCCAACAGTGCTTGATGTGCTTCCCCGTGCAGAGAGCCTATGAACAGAAGTGCAGTCAGGGAGGTTTCACATCACCAAGATTCCTATCCCAGAAAAGCAGATGTTCTTAGCTCTGGGAATGAATGCAACCCTTGTGGAGAGCCTATAAACAGACACATGGGGGGTGCCTGTCCATATGGATAAGATAGGGCTATAAACGCCCTCATCTTGCCAAGGCTCTTCTAGGCCTCTTTAGGGTTAAGGCATACTCCCCGCTGAGAATTTCTGGTCTAACCTGTTGTCTAGCTTCACGTCCTGTTTCTATGGATTGTTTGTAACCACCTGTTGCTGCAACTGTTACTGCTGATTAATATCTTTCTAGTCATAGGTTATGGAAAGACTGTGTTTCTGTTTTAGGGCTCTGTTAGAAATTACTGATGCACACACTATATTGTAAATTCTTATCTCTGTATACTGTACTTCTGCATACAGATGTTATATTAAAGAATTACTTCATCCCCATGTGACCATCTCACTTCATAATCAAATGACTCCAAATCCCTCACTAACCTAACCCTGACTTCACTAAACTTAATAATAAATGCTGGTATATCCAGTGCATTGGTGGCACCATAGGACGAGAAGGCGGTGATCCCCCTGGACCCAGCTTTCACTATCTTGTGTGTGTCTATTATTTCTCGACCTGCGGATCCTCTGCCTGGGAACAAAGAAACAGCACCGTTGTACTGTGGGCTGTTGGCCAGGTCCTGCAATACTCAACACCACAGAAACACACACACCCTACATCACCCTATGCCCCACACAAACTACACACACAAGCATCACACGTACTCACCACTCATACCACACACACACCTCACACATATCACACATCACATTCCACAAAACATGGACATTTAAACACTATATCACATGCACACACACCACACAAACCACACATACACACACACACCACATAGCACACACATATCGCACATCACATTCCACAAAACATGGACACCTACACACTCCATCACACACCACACTACAAAAACCACAAATACATACACACACACACACCACACACATACTAACACACATACCTACCACATCACACCACACATAGAGCCCACACATACACACCCCAAGGCACACATACACCCAACATATACCTTGAACATCTACCTTTCACATCCATTCACATCTGGTAGTTTTCTTGTTTTCTCCAGATTTTAGATCACCTTCGTTCACTGTTTTATAATTATTCATAAACTGCAATCCCTCTAACACCCGATTCTACAAGGAAATATCAAGTTTTTTCAAAGTAAATATTTATTGCAGTATTTATGTAATTCTCAACCACTTAACATGACTCAAGTTGGTGCAACCAAATTTATCAGGTTGTCATGTATTTTATATTCCACTGACCAACTTTACAATTGGTGTGTCCCTAACTTTATTTTGTCTTAAACCCTGTAGTGTTTTGTTTTCTATAACACATCTGCTTGTGTTAGAATGACAGCTATTCTTCTGGCTTTAAAGTATATTTTGACTGATATTAATATAGATGTAACAGTATTATTTGTTTTATAAATAGGTGTTATCATTTTTCCATATTTTTACTTTACATTTTTGTATACATTGGTTTAAATTTGTCTCTTATAAACAGCATATAGCCAGAAAGCTTTTTACCCAATCTGAAAATTTTTGTTATTTAGCTGAAACTTTTATTCCCTTGAGTGTTATTGATGATGTGTTGGGTTTAAATATGTCATCATTATTACGGTAGAAGTAGCCATAGTACTATTGTAAAGTTTGCTTTACCGTAGTTTTACTTGCTCTGTTTTTCCCCACCCTGCCCCTGTTATTTCTTGTCTTCTTTTGGAAGGATTATTTTTATCACATCTTTTTCCCTGTGTTACTCTGAAAATTACATTATCTAATTCTTTTAATTTACTACTTCCTCCAAATAAAGCACGCACTTTTACTTAACTCATTAACTTCTAATATTAATCAGTATCTCTACCTTACCCCTGGAGTTTTTCATTCATCACTTTCCTGATATGTTATTATGGCCATGTAATATACGTATGTATGTATGTGTGTGTGTCTGACAAAAATCTTTGAGGAAGTAATAGTATTTCCAAATGTCATCAATATGTATTTTGATAGAACCCTGCATTTATCATTGTCTCTGTTCTTTATTTTTTTTCCATTATGAATGAATATGTAGAATCTGTATCAATTAGAAGTTTTGTTACAGCATGTTTTTGGATGAAGAACTCTGGTGTTTTATTTTGTTTTTGTATGGTCTGAAATTGTCTTCATTCTTCCTTTATCCTTTTAGGAAATGTATGTTAATATAGAACTTTAGGTTGGTAGTTACTTTTATTTCAGAATACTGAGTATATTATTCCTGCATACATGGCTCATGTTGTCTCTGAGAAATTGGTTGTCAGTCTGACTATGGGTGATTTGAAGGTAATGTTTATCTTCATCTTTGGTTTTCTATCATTTCAGTATGATATGTATAAATGTGTTTATTTATAAGATTCAGTGGACTTCTTGAACCTACGTGTTAGTTTTATCTATTTTGAAGCTTTCTCACACGTTCTTTCTTTAAATATTTTTTATCTTATCTCTGTGTCTTGCTCTCTAGATATTTTTTCTGATGTATGTTATAATTAATCAATTTTCTCTTTAACTGTGTCTAATATACTGTTTAGCTCAACTTTTCAATTATTTGTTTTGGGGACAGTAGTTTTTATTTTCATTTTCTCTATTTCTTAATGTGCTATGTCATTTTATATTTTGCTGTTTCTTAGACATTTTTAATCCTGTTTTTTTTCATTTATTTTATTTTATTTTTATTTTTATTTTTGAGATGGAGTCTCGCTCTGTCACCCAGGCTGGAGTGCAGTGGTGTAATCTCAGCTCACTGCAAACTTCACCTCCTGGGTTCAAGCATTTCTACTGCCTCAGCCCCCCAAGTAGCTGGGATGACAGGCACGCATCACGATGCCTGGCTATTTTTTGTATTTTAGTAGAGACAGGTTTTTGCCATGTTGGTCAGGCTGATCTTGAACTCCTTACCTCAAGTGATCTTCCCACTTTGGCCTCCCAAAGTGCTGGGATTACAGGTGTGAGCCCTCTTCACTGGCCAAGTCTGGCTTTTTATTTACTTCACTATAGCAAGTGTATTTTAACAACAATTTCTACCTAATAAGCCAATATCTTTTTGTGCAATTATTTCTCTTGTTCATTGTTTCATATTGTTGTAGTATATATATCTTGTTCTCTTGTACTTGGTTATCTTTAATTATATTCTGATTTGGGAAAATAATTTGCGAAAATAACTTGAGGTAGAAGATGCAAGTTTTATTTTTTTTCTGTTCCCCCTAAGGGAGCGAGCAGGCATGTGGGGCACTGAAAATCTAGCCAGGTGCACTCTGCAATAGCAAGATTTACAATTCTCTGGACCACCCAGTTGACACCATTTGGGTGTATACATTCATTTAAGTGCAGATTTACTTCTTATTCTCTTTTATTGTATCGATTAGGAGTCCATCAAGAAAGCAAAACCATTCTGATCATTAAAAAGAAATGGATCGGGAACAGCTGAAAGTTGCATGTGGAAATCAGGAAGTTTCAGGACTCTCTGGAACTTAGTAAAAACGACCTCACCATGATGCTTTTGAAAAACATGTCTTCTCTGGAGGCACAGTACTTTCTTCTACTGGTTTCTACTTTTGGAAGTATCTAAAATCTTTGAAGTCCTTCTTGAAAGTCTAGGAAATGAAGTTCCCAGGGTTCCTGGTTCTCTAACATGAAGAAAACAGAAGGGAGTGGAGATGAGTGCTGGTTGTCAAAAGAAAACGAAAGCTCGATACCCAGCACACTTGAATTCAGGGGTCATCACTCTGGTTCATAGATTAAACTGGCGCCAGGTTTATGATTATTACTAATTCGGACAAGCCTTGTCGGCTGCATTCAATTCCCTCACCACACAAAGTCAATAGATTCTGCACAGTTTCACTGATATTTTTTCAAAATTGGCGATTGCCCTCAGGACAAAAGGGAGATGGGTGGGCCCTACACTTGGTTTTTGTCTTCTTTGAGGTTTGTTTCCATAATTTTGCATGACCTGTAGCTCTTTGATGCTTTTAACATTTTTTAAAAAGCTTTCCTCAATGAGAATGCTGAGGTGAATCATCTGTTTTTATAAGTAGTGAGAATCCTGCATTCTCTTTTTTCAGAGTTAAAATATTATCTACTATAGTAAGGAGAAAGTATGATCTACTATAGTAAGTAGAAAGTATGATCACCTTCTCTAATTCTCTCCAACAGGTGAAAATGAACAGAACATGAAGTTTATGCCATTATGTACATTTTGAATTTAAGAGCGTCCACTGAGGTTTTAATACACTCTGGAAAAATTAAAGACTTTTGTTTTAGCGAGCTCAAAATCTTGGTCAGTATTTCTTTTTTGAGATGTAGAAGGTGCAGATGTTTTTATTTCAGTACATTTTCTTCTTTATATTTTTCTATTTAAAATTGTTCTGTAAAATGACAACTTGTAAGTGCCCATATTTATGGGGTACAAGGAGAGGTTATCACTTTATGAGTACAATGTGGAATAGTTAAATCAAACTAATTATCATATTCTTCTGCACAAATACATATATGTAAATTTTTGCAGGGAGAACTGCAAATTCTTAATGTAACTTTTTACAGTTAGAATCTTTGAAATGTATTCTTTTCGCTGTTTTTAAGTGCACAATATATACTGTTATTCACTATATTCACCACTCTGTGTAACAGAATTACCATATGATCTGGCAATCTTACTCCTGGGTATTTGCTCAAAAGATTTGAAGTCAGTCTGTGGAAGAGATGTCTGTGCTCTCATGTTCATGACATGTTCTTCTCTAAAAGATGTTTCCCCAAACCATCAAAATAAAGGCAAATGAGAAGAAAAGAGTCTAAAATAGAAAAACAGGTTTGAGAGATGAGGCTTTGCTAGAAAAAAAAAATAATCCAACCATATAATGTAGCAAAATTACTTTTTAAATAAAAATAAAAATAAGACAGTCTTACCCTTGAGCAGGTCTGAAGAATCAAGCTGTCATCACACAAACATCTTTGAAGAATGACACAGAAATATGATTCTTTTTGCCTACAGCAGTTCTAAATAACACTTCGCAGCTTCCAGAGAGTCACGAAAAAAGAGTGATTACACATAAAACCACGTAGTTTCAATGCCAAACAGTTCCCAAAGCTGCAGCATTTACAGCGAAAGAGAACTTTAAACCCTTATAGAATCTGGTCCGTTACCAGAAAAACAAAATCTCTGTGCCCAGAATAATTCTGATTTAAAAAAAAAATTCCACCTACACAGAAAAAGTCAATCATGAGTTAAAGACCCTACAATATTGCATGCTAAATATATTCGCTTCAGGAATGCCACAGCATGCTGAATACACTTTCTTTCTTTCTTTTTTTATCCTAGCAATGTGGTTTTTGTAAGGAAATCCTAAAATTCACTGCTATAGAATTTTATGTCTTTAAAAAGTACATTGCTATGCTAAGAGGTATCCAATGTATAATTTTAAAAGGTGAATTACATTAAAAAGTGAACTCTGGGGAACACAGTGTCCTTCAAAATTAAAGATACAGAGTTAGTGAAGTGATGGAAATATATTCACTATATCATTTTACAGGTATTGTTTATCTGCCTACTATGTTCCAGGTTCTCTGTTTTCTCCACCATTCTGAAGACAGGGAGCTCAGCAGCGGATGGGGAACTAACCACAGTGTTCTTGCTACCTGTTTCTTTGTTTAAACATTAGTACAGCACTTTGAGAGGCCGAGGTAAGAGGATCACATGAGCCCAGGAGTTCAAAACCGGCCTGGGCAACATGGCAGTACCCCATCTCTGTCAAAAAATTAGCTGGACATGGTGGGGTGTGCCTGTAGTCCCTACTGGGAAGGCTGAGGTGGGAAGATGACTTGGACACAGGAGGTTGAGGCTGTAGTGGGCCATGATGCTCCAGCCTGGGCAATGGATTGAGACCCTATCTCAAGAAAACAAAAAATTAAACAAAAAACAACAAAATATATTAATACGGGAGACACACAAGGTGTAATGAAGCCTATACTTGTGGATTCTAACAGTCTTGAGGAATCAAAGTTTCCTGGGAATTACCGGATGTGTTAAAATCTGGAAGGCGGGGGTACCATCTGTGCAAGCAGGGCATGGGGGTGAGACAGGAAGCTCAGGGGACAGCATTTTCAGTGGACACTTGTTTAGATGCATTTGGCTAAAACATTGCTTCTATTCAATGGGAAGAAATATTAAGAAAGTTTGAGCAGGTAGAGTGGGGCCAGATCACGAAAAACCTCATAAATAGGTGGCTCTTTTCATACTGTTTCCTGAGAATTTCGGAAAGCCACGAAGCATTTTCAAGGAAGGAGGAACGTTTTGTTATCCGTTTTAGCAATAATCTTACACACGTAGCCAATAATTGGATGTGGGCAGAGCTGGTGCTAGGAACACTGGCTAGGAAGATATTGCGCTAATGTAATAAGTCACTGTGTTTCAAACTAGAATAGAGACCATTGGAATGAAAAATATAAATGGAGTCCAGCCATATTTAGGAGGTAGAATCTTAGGATTGGGTAGTTCATTGGAAGTGCTGAACTCGAGGAAAACTGCTAAGCTTCTGCCTTGAGCTACTGTTTGGATAGCAGAGTATTTTTTTGATAGAGGCACACAATGAGAAGCAGAGCTTTAGAGGAGGAAGTGGAAGTTCAGTTTTAAAAATGTGAGCCTGAATTTCCCACCAAGAGGAAGCAGCTGTATATATGTGCGTGGATTCCAGGCAAGAAGTCGGCACTGAAAATACAGTTTTGGAAGCAATAGCGTTACAAAGGACAGCCGAATACCACACCCCAACCAGAGGGGTAGGTGTGAGCTTCCAGAGAGTGTAGGAGAGAATCTCTGACAGCATCATTCTCTAAGAAATGGCTGTAGATGAGAAATCTGAAAAAGAGGCTGAGTAGCCTGAAGGATGAGGTGTTCAGAAAGTCAGGAGAAAAGACAGCCAGTTCCCTATGCTCCCAGGCAAGAGACAGGAGGGCTTGATGAGTCTGAAGCACACACTTATTTAGCTGTGGGGCAGTTATTATCTTCTGTGATTCAGACCCTTCTGTTACATAGGGGTGATAAAAATGGCACCCACTCTGAAAGACTGGGATGGGCATTGACTACATTACTATTTATAAAGTTTGTAGAACAGCGCCTGGCAGAGAGCAGGTGCTACCAAAGTGCTTGAATAAATAAAATGTCAAGCAAGGTAAAGACTGAATTTATCCACGGGAATCTGGTATTGTCTCATGCAGCGACAATGCGTGGGGAAGTAGATTGGGGTGAGGTAGGGTCAATGTGCCCAGGGTGGAGGAACCAGAAAGATGTAGAGGGGAACGTGTTGATTGCAGGCTGGGAGAGAGCTGAGGGGAGTTCTGCACTGTAAGCACGTGTGATGGGTATTATTGAAGAGACATCTTCAGAAATGCTGATTACAAGGCTCCGGCTAGGATCTGCCGTTAGGAAACAAATAACTATTTAACAAATAACTGTTGAAGGATGGGGGCATGAGCACATGGGAAACTGTCGGGAGGGATTGTCCATACGTTTTTGTTTGCTTTTACTCCTTGCTTGTCTGGAAATTGTGATTTTCAGTGAAAATTACATCAAATTAAGAGTCGGGAGACCAGCTTGTTTAAGCACATGGCTTCTTCCCTCAGAACCTTAGTACTTCTATACATCAAATAAGGGTGTAGACTGAATGCTGCAGGACTTCTCATTAGTTCAGCTAAAGACGGGGGTCTTTTGTCCCACGGCCATGAATATTCAGGCTTACAGACAAATTCAGTGTTGAGTAAGACAGGGTTTTATTGAGTGAAAAGGAAGAAAAGGGGGAAACAGGGACTCTGCCCTGCCAGAGCTCCCTTCTAGAGTGCTTCCTGCCTCACTGTTGGAATCCCAGGTTCTACATAGGAAGGGGAGGGACCGGGCTCCTCCCCGCTGCAAGTGCTGCAGACTTCCTGAGGCTCCAACCCAGTGTGCAGGCAGGGTGGTGTTTTGCGAAGGATCCCCTCCAGTCTGGCTGTCTCACCCAGGGGGACTCCTAGATTTATTACCATTCCCAGTGCTGTCTGCTCACACTCTTTGAAGTACATAGCACTGAGTACCGATCAGGAGAATCTCACACTTTTTGAAATGGGACCTCCTGTTGTCCTTCACTTAAATCATTCACAGCAATTAGTTTTGCCTCAAATTTTAATTGAGCATTTCTTGGCAGTCATTATTTCATTGGCGACATCTTCAAGAATGCTGACTACAAGGCTCCAGCTAGGATCTGCCCTTGGGAAAAAAATAACTTTTTAATTCTAATCAGCCACATAAGGAAATACAAATCATACGATTGAGACATAACGGAGTCAGGATAGGGAAGCCCAGAGGTAATGCATCTGCCATGGCATGGTATCAGGGCACCTTAGAGGTAGCATTGGTTTGAAAGTCAGAAGGCCTGCTTTGAAGCCTTGGCCTTATTTTACCCTGATTAGTCATGCAGCCTTCAGCAGATCTCTTGATTTTTTAAGGCCTGAATTGTTCCTAAAGAAAAGCAGGATGACCCCTGGCCATGACCAGTACATAGTGAGTGCCTACTCCATTCCAGCCATTGTGGTAGGCATGGCCATCAGTACCCGGGAATGCAGATGTGGCCTTAGGCCTCTTGTTGGCACAATCTAATGTGGATCAAAGGCAGATGTACAAGTAAATGCACACATTAGAGGCATGATTTCCAGCACTCAGGTGTGCTACCATAGTCAAGATCATCGGAGATGCCTGCAGAGAGGCCAGCACTTACTTCCCTAGAGAGATGAAGGAGGCGGTTGTGAGAGGAGCCCAGAGAAAGAGGGTTCTGAGCAGGAAAATCATCCTGAATGAGTGAATAGAGACAGAAAAGAGCTTGACCCTGTCTAAGAAACTGAAAGATGAATGGTGTGTGTGATGGAGAATGAAAATAGAGACAGGTGGGAGTCCTTTCATGCAAGAACACGTGGGCTATGATCAGGACTTTTATTCTATGATCAGGACCATGAAAGACCTACCATTTCCTAACATTCTCTGAGTTTATGACTATTTTCTTAAAAATCATCTCTGCTCTCTTGAATACCCTTTAATTCCAGTGTGTGAAAGGTGAGGTGTGGCTAGAAACTAATGGTAAATATGCTGGAATCTCTTGCACATGGACTATTGCATTGGTTTAACAAATACAAACATTACTTATGAATGAATATTAAAAGCTTCATTTCTTCACTTGGATGATCAAGAAACATTACTGCCAGCCCTTACAGCTAATTTAAGAGAGGCAGAATCATTAAAAGCAGATGCAAGACCAGCCTGGCCAATGTAGTGAAACCCCATCTCTACTAAAAACACAAAAATTAGCTGTGCATGGTGACCAGCGACTAGTCCCAGCTACTTTGGAGGCAGAGGCAGGAAAATCGCTAGAACCCAGGAGACAGAAGTTCCAATGAGTTGAGATTGCGCCACTGCACTCCAGCCTGGGCAACAGAGTGAGACTCTGTCAAAAAACAAAAAAAAAAATGCCACGAGGTCAGGATTGGATATTTGCAGGAGAAAGAACCAAAGACTTATTCTCCACCTCCCCGTTTTTTTTTTTCTTTCTTATCCAACTCCCATACTCTTTCATTCTTCTCCTTCCCCCTTACTTAACAGATAGCAAGGTTAGTAAAAAGCCTGTTGTGGTGGAACTCAGGGCAAGCCCCGGAGGAGTCCTGTGTGTGCACATGCTTCTGCCAGTGGAAGGTGTGTCTGTACATGTGAGTGTGAAGGTGAGTCTGTATGTGTATGTGTGCTGAGTTATTGTGAGCTGCGAAGGATGGCAAAAGATGAGGAGGCTGGAGGTAGAATAAGAGGAGGAAAAACTTGCTTATAAGTCTGACGATCTGAACCATGATTTGGAAACAAGTTTTCTCCCTGTGTCAAATTAAAAAAAAAAAATTCTCATGAATAAACTTATTTATCACACATTGTTGGAAAAATAAATAAAATTGTAGACACTATAGCCATGCCTTTAGATATATCAGTTTTAAAATCATCACCTCCTTCAGCATCACTTTACAGATGATGGAAATGGGACCTAGCCACAAAGAGTGACTTGTATCAGTCATATAGCAAATCAGTGGAAAATCTGAATTTAGAACCAGGGTGACTTCATTTCAGTATTCTTTATAATTTCTCAGGCTGTTTTTCAGCCCAAATGTCTCCACTCTGGTAAATGACATTTAAATATGCAGGCAGATGACAAAAAATCTGATAAAAGAGCAAGAGCCTACAACTGATCAACCGAATCATAATTTGAAACCAGAATCTGCAATTTGGAGAATTTCCCTTTGTAGTGATCCCTGAACTTGGGTCCTCTTGTGTGTAAAAAGGCAGTAGAAGCATCCACCTGAGCAGGGCATTGTGAGGTTGAAACAAGAGAGTCACACGAAAGTGCCCAGCACACAATGCAAGTTTAGTGAGACTTAAAATTTGCATGTAAAGTCGTAGGGAAGACATTTAGAAGTGATCTTCCCATAACGGGAACCACACGATATTCTTCAAATGCATTGGAAGATGTTGTAAAAATATAAAAGGGTACAGTAAATTGATGGGAAATGACATCTCTTGAGTGAACCCAGCACCTGTACAGGTAGTACAGAAAACAAACAAACAAAGAAGGAAAGGTCAGGCAAGACCAGAGAAGGAAACCATTGATGAAGTCAACTTAAGGCCTTTAGCATTCATAGCTGCTCTAGGGGTCTGAGCATCATCACACAACCTCCGTGGGAACTGTGAGCTTTGGAGAAAGACCCAGGAGGCCAGCTGGAATTGGACTCTTACCTAAAGTATCCAATGGGCTGTATGGACAGGAAGATGCCCAGCAAGGTGTGGGCCCAGGGTCTCGGCCCTTCTTTGTGTTGAGGCACCATCACCAACATTATTATTGTCATCTGCCTGATGCATATTGGAGATGAGTATGCATATTTAAAAATGGTTTTGTTACTGGCTTTATGAATTCTGGTTCCTGGTTCCAACAGTTTCACAGGGCAGACAGGACACTTTCAGGTCAGGCCACCAAAGCACAGTTTGTGATCCTAGGTAATCCAGAGGCTTTATATCATTATGAGCAGACTACCTGGGAACAAACGTAGGTTCTACTTCCAAAGTGGAATGAAGCCAGAATTTACAATCTATAACCTAGCAATATACTGGTTTTTAGCTTTAATGAGAATAGATTATTAAGATAAAAACATGAGGTTTACAAAATGCATTTTAAAAAGTCATCAGTCTAACCAGCATTTCTTCTGTGACATGTTACACAGGACTCTTGGTCAGTGAAATCAGGTGGTTCTGAATGTTAATAATTTTAACAAACATTAATGGTGAATTTGGAGTTGGTTGAATGGTGATACCCATACAGATCTGACTTACGCATTAGGTCACCTTGGAGGATGTTCTGTGAAAGCTCCTTAGAACTCTCTCTTGTTTCTTATTTTTATCACTTAATTAAAAAGACAATGTAGAATATTCAGAAAATAATTTTGGAGCTGATTTTTATATGCTGTGCAGTTGGTTAGCATTGACTGTTTGAAAGTTAATAAGAAGTAGTTCTGGACCTCAAATATCTCATGGTTTATTAGATTAATTAAAACTGTAGAAGACGCCCATGCAGCGGGGGTGTATTCCCAGCTTAGCTCAATGGTCCTGAGTCTTAGTAAGAGAGAGATTGGTGGGGGGCTGGGGGGGACAGAGAAAGAAAGAGAGAGAGAGAGACCGAGAGAGAGAGACAGAGAAAGAGAGAGAGGAGAGAGAAAAGAGAGAGAGAGGGAGAGAAGGGGAAAGTTTTGGCTGTTTATTATTTAATTTTTATTTGATGCTCATGAAACTGATATCTAGACATGTTTTTGTTTAGTACTGAAGCCCTTACTCAATGTTTCAATATTGCGTTTTATTCAATATTGCAATGGAATAATATTGCTTTTTTTTTACATTATCTAGCGTGATTTTTCATGTGTTCTTGATACGGTGAGAGAATGAATGAAATTAATCAGAATAGGCAGATCTATTCCCTCTGTTTTTACAAACACAACACGATGTCAGTAAATAAATGGGTGAATTCTGGCTATAAGCGGTATCTCACTAAGCATTTTGTCTGATTTATAAGTAATTAGTGGTATGAATCACCGCATGCCACTGTCTACATAGCTTTATGCATTCTGTGGCACACGTCCGTGAGAGAGGAGCTGATCTGCAAAAGGTTAACCCGAAGCACTTACAAAAAAAGTCGAGGGAAACGGAGTTCCATAAAATGAATTCCACTAGAGTTTTCACTGGAATATTAATATCCTCTTTTCCCGCAGACAAGACACATTTAAGTTGATTATCTGCCCCGCCCTCCCCATCCCTCTGCAAGCTGCATACCAATTCCTTACCTGCAGGCTTGACCAGACCTGGTGTTCTGGGATCTGGTGTGAAAACAGAATCACTGCCTCACTTATTATTCTTCAGAGAACAATTTTTATTTCTCTGTCTCTAAATGTCACAAGCCTTTTCCAATGTTCAAGAAGAAAAGATGTCTCCAGGTTGCTGTGCAGGACAATGAGCACAAGTTCCCTTTTTTTGCTTCATGCTGGAGAATCTCCAAGAATTTCTGGTCATCTGGAGGCAGAGAGGGGTGGTGAGCCACTCCCTCCAGGAAGGAGCACACGTCATCCTCTGCCGGTTGAACTCCTGGTGCTGAGAGAAATTGCTCATCCTGGGACCTGTGCTTGAGCCCAGGCCTTTTCTGCCCATTACTTGTGCACCGGGTACTTTGAGATGTAGTTTCTTTAAATATTTTGTCTTCTTGACAATGCTACTATCACGTTTTGGATATAGAGAGAACTAAGGCTAGAGAGCTTATGTAACTTTCCACAATTGCAGATTGTAAATTGAAGAGCTGAGATGTGAACGCAGGTGTTTCTGACTCCAGGGTGTGTGCTCTTTCTGTCACTCAAGTTTACTGATCAGAGCGTCGTCTGCCATGACCTGAGTATTTGAGCTTGATCTATCCGTTTGGTTTGTTGCTTTGATGGTTAATTTTACGTGTCAAATTGACCGGGCTAAGGGAAGTCCAGACAGCTGGCAAAACGTCATTTCTGTGTGTGTCTGTGATGATGTTTTCTAGAAGACATTAGCATTTGAATGGGTGGACGAACTAAAGGAGACTCCCCTCACGATTGTATTTTGCTGGGGTGTCTTAGGAATTTCTGAATTCTACCCAGTGCACCTCATTTTGAGTTTCCTCAAAGAGGTTTGTGAACAGGGTCTTGTGCAGGAGTGATGTTAGAGCCATGAAGAACAACCACAAAAATCTCAAATCAGCCCTGCTCCTTCACATCTTTGACCAGATATGAGAATCTGGAAAGATTAAAAAATGAACAAGTGGAGAGATCTGCCCGTTAGAAAACATTTTTTAATGCTTAAAAGATGAAAAAAAATGTTTTAAAATAAATATACTGTAATTAATCTAAACCAAGTTAAAAAGGGGAATAGATCATCCTAGTAGGCTAATCGGTAAAAAATTAAACAAGATACACATAAACAAGAACTCTTCCTTGGCACACCGAACACAGACACACACAGACAAACTAAACAGACGCATATACAGTGACACACCAACCACAGACACAAACATAGACACACACACACGTTAAACACAAGCACCCAATACACCTACACCAAATAGGACACAAACACAGACATACACACACCAAATACAGACACACACACACACCAAACACCAGATATACACACACTAAACACAGCCAACACCATAGACACACACACACACCAAACACAGACACACACACACACACACACATACACACACATACACCAAATGCAGACACATACACAAACACCCTCTCATGGCGGTGTGTTAACTATTTATGTCAGATCTTGGGTCTGTGTGCGAATGTTTGTAATGGGAGGTGAGCCTGATTTGGGTCAGCTCTTTGAACCCAATTCTTCCCCAACCCCAACATGAAGGTCTGTGGAATCAGCAACCTCTCCTATCCTCCTTTGAGTTAAGTGTTAACAATTTGCTAAATGTTGATGTTGATCCCAGGTTGTGATATTTTTAATTAGGAGGAATTTAAATCACTCCCAAAAGCTCAAAAGGGGAGAAGGTCTTTTATCTGTTTCAAATTGTGTGAGCGATTTATTGTCTTGAATTGCCCTTATCTGACAATCAGGACAGCGCTGGAATTCAGCAGGGGGCTCCCTGGACCAGCAGAGTGAGCCACACGGGGCAGGATGCCCCCACACCCTTTTCACTCTCAGTGCAGAGGTATCAAGGGGTTGCCTTCGTGCTTCAAAGTGCCCACGAGAGAGAGAGAGCTGTCAGCAAATAAGAAAGATCTAAATTTGAGTTGCTGACATTGCAACAGTGGTTGTTGTTAAACTTGGTATTGGACACAACAAGGAACTGAAAAATTAAACAGCACCAGAAGAACCTAGAACAGATCACTATTGCTCTTGACTGAGAGGATATTCAGCCAAAGATGTCTGTGGACTGTGAACCAAGTCTGTTTCTCTGCCTTCTGCCCCATGCTGCTCCTGCTTGTGTCTGTGTTTGCAATGCTTGTGTGTGTGTACAGTATTTAAACACGCATGGTGGACTTCCGGTGCGATCTCAATATCCTTCGCTCTGTCTCATTTCCTTAGCATTTTTAAAACCTCTCTCTTATGTCACTTCACATTCAAAGCAAAACAATATAACAGCAATGGAACAATCACACTGCAGAATCATATTTTTGACTTGGTGGATTTGTGTTAAAATAGATGTCTACGTGTTCATTTTCTATTTCTGCCATACAAATTACTGCACATTTAGCAGCTCAAAACAATATGAATTTACTATCTCATAGTTCTGTAGCTGAGAAGGCTGATCGGCTTGGCTAGTGGATTTGCTTTGAGCCTCAGAAGCTGAAATTAATGCATCTAGACAGCAGGTTCCCTTGTGGAGGCTCTAGGGGAGAATTGGTTTCTAGGCTCATTTAGTTCGTAGGTTCTTGGGCTGAGCTCTGTTTCCTCATAGGCTGCCAGCACAGCACCCCAAACTCCTAGCGGCCTCCGTCTTGTGTCTGCATGTAGTCCTTCTATTTCACAGCCAGCCACAGTAGTACATTGTATCCTGCCGTGGCCATGCAAACCTCCTCTGCACACTTCTCTGCTCTGCTCTTCAGCTTTTAAGGGCTCCTGTGATTACCTGGGGTGCACCTGTGGCATCCAGGACACTCTTCCTATCTCGAAGTTAGCTGATGAGCCGCTTTACTTCCATCTGCAAGTCCCCTTTGCCATTTAATGTCACATATCCACAGGCATGAGATCATGGGGGCCAAAGTCTGGCCTACCACAGTCTGTAGGGGCAGAATTATTTTTGTTGAACTAAGAAAATTGAACCACGCTGAATTGAGAAAAAATGAAAACTTAAGAAAATGGTCATGTATCTGACAAGTCAATATCTCTGCGTGTTTAGTTTCAGACGAGGCTGGGGATATCGTCGCCATGACGGTGTCCATCTCTCTCCCTGTCTCTGCTCCCCCTCACCTTGGCTTCACTCTCAGACATGCTCCCTGCATGGCGTCACTCCGCCTCAGGCCTCAGTTGTGCACATCGTGTAACCTCAGTGGACCGACTCTGTTCCCAGCTAACACCTCTAATCCAGGTGCCAGAGCTGAGTCATGGAGCTTCTATTGTAAATACACTCATTCTTGGCCGCTGCGTAGGGAGATAAAGGTGTGGCGTGGTCAGGCCCAAGACTATGCAATCCTGAGAGAACAGAACGGAGTTGGGGGGTTGTATTGGCCTCATCAAAGCCCATGGGCTGAGAATGAGGAAGGGTTATTTGCCAAGGTAAAATAGAAGCACAGCTACCAGAAGACAGAGTGGATGCTGGACAGGCAGCACTGAGCAGTTTTAGGGATTTTAGGTTTTGCCATTAACCCACATGTCATTGCTGAGGAATTCTTTGGGAGTGATTCTGCGGATCCATCTGGCACACAGATGCATTGAGTTATCTTAAACAAAAGTCTTAATCTCGCTATCCTACTCCCCATTATATTTCAATCCTAGTACGATTTTACCCCAAGTGAACAAAGGTGTCTTCTGCTAATCTCAGCCTCTCTTTTTGTAGTTGAGGAAACTCCATCGTGCTAGTTGATCTCACCACGAGATCCCGAAACTATATGCTTCAGCTGCAGCTATTTTTTCTGCTCTGACTCTTGGGTTGACCAGGGCACACTCTCAGTGCCTTCTGCTCTCTAAGCTGATCTCTCTTTCCGAGGCCAAATGTATTCTACGACATCTAGAAAACTACAACTAGCAAGCCACAGATTTCCCTGAGTGGCATATGCCTCTTTGGTTTTTAAAGTTTTCACAAAATATGGTACAAACCACTGGAGTATTTGGGGCAGAGCTGACAATAGACAGAGAATTAAAAATAAATTATCCCTGCCCTTTTGTCTTTGATATGGGCGATGCCGTGGAGGACAGGTGACCCAAAGGACGGGATTTTGGCTCAGGTGACATGTTGATGCTGCGGCCTGGGTCTCCAGTGAACGCTGTCACATTAGCAGAAGCCAGTAAGCACATCAGCTAGCAGGTGAGTCTTTGTTCCAGAGAGTGACAGCCCTGAAGAGCCACTCCGACTTTTCTCGCACCCCAAGGGCAGGTGTTGACATCCTGTTGTGGATGTTAGATGAGAAACACGACTCCATTGGGCATCGTTTGCAGCATGTAGGAGATCACACAGTGAATAATTGAAAAATCTCTGCTGTGTGCCTACCGCATCTGCGGTGGGGAGAGCCGGGGAACCGTTTTAAGGTGTGCTGTGCTGGCCCAGGAGGACGAGGGCTACATCATTGAAAAAAAAACATATATATGTATGTATGTGTGTGTGTGTGTGCATACATGCATGGATGTGTGAGTATATGTGTGCGTGTGTACAATTTGCATACTATTTTGACACCCAGGGTATTTCTTTTCCATCGATCTGCCTAATTTCTAGTGCTTTTTGTTTGTTTGTTTTGTTTTGAGACAGAGTCTCGTACTGTCACCCTGGCTAGAGTGCAGTGGCGCGATCTCGGCTCACTGCAACCTCCGCCTCCCAGGTTCAAGTGATTCTCCTGCCTCAGCCTCCCGAGTAGCTGAGATTACAGGCACCTGCCACCATGCCCAGCTAATTGTTTTTTGGTGTCTATATTTTTAATAGACAGGGTTTCACTGTGTTGGTCAGGCTGGTCTCAAACTCCTGACCTCATGATCTGCCCGCCTCCGCCTCCCAAAGTGCTGGGATTACAGGCGTGAGCCACCGTGCCCAGCCACTTCTAGTGTTTTAAAGATGCATATTCCACCAGCCTGGTTGGAGAGACCACTGTGCTTCCTCGAGGATGAAGTGGTGCCTCTCTCCTGTCCTTTGAAGTAGGCTACATTTACTTTTTTGTCCCAGGGTGCATCACAGCATGTTGGGAACACTGTTTTTAGTTTTTTTGTTTTTTTTTTTTTTTTTTTAATATATCTACATCATCTGTGTTTAGCTGATTCTTTGGCATAGAGAAGGCCCTCAAAATATTTGTGGAATGAATCAAGTATGTACCAAATAAAGAAACATATATAATTTCTCTATCTTAAGAAATCCAACTGATTTTTCTCCTCTTTGCTCTCTTTCAGTCCTTGTCCTTAAGTAAACACAATATTGTGAATATTTTTCCTTTTTAAGCATATTCTAAAACATTTTTCAGCGCTAGGCTTTATATGAACCATTTTTGAAAAAGTGTTTCTTGGTACTTTGCCTTGTTAAATGCTGTACTATTCCTCTTTGGCCAGAATGTGTAACTGACCAGCTAGGCAGGCTGCTTTCCCAGACAGAGGACAAAGTGGTGCAGAAGGCAGCCGGTTCTCCCAGCGTGTCCCAGAGTTGGTTCTCAAATATCCTAGGCTGCCTCCTTCTTCTTACCGATGTGCTGGCTGGTCCCTGCCCTCTCTGAGATCCTCCCAGTCCCAGCTACTAATCACCAACAGTGCTTAAACAAAACTAACCCAATCAATGGGCAAGTGACTAGAATTACTTATCCACCTGCCTCAAGTGCAGGTCTAGAGGAATAATTGCATCCTTAACAGCTGACAGGACTTGGCAGGTTATTCTGGGGTTGCTAGCCTGGTGATTTTGGACTTGGTGATTATCTGCAATGCTTTTCTGTTCCACTCCGACCAGGAAGACCAGGAATGAATGAGCCTCAGAGGTGGTGCACATGTAACTGACAGATGTAAACAAGGAGCTTGACCTTGTTTGAAAGTAACCTCAGCAGCAAGAACGGTTGTCATGATGCTTGAAGCACTATCCACATATTATAACTGTGCTTCCTCAACAAGAAGTAGGTCTGGCTCTCCTTATCCGGAGATCAGAAAACAGAGGCTCAGAGATACCACATTAATCAAGATCACGCAGCACCTGAACGGTGTGGCCAGGCTTTACAACTGACTCCAAAATCTGTGCTGTTTCCCTAACATGTATGCGATTTATCAGGAACACCACTTAGCATGCCTGTCTCTTTCAACACAGAAGTCCTCTGTCAATAAAGGGGAATGTGGTTATTGTTTCTCATGTCCAGATTGTCTGGGAATATGGGCAGAAATGGCTACTCTGCTTCTCGATTATGACTTCAGACCATTTCTCTGTCTTCTTTTTCGATTGCTCCTGATTTCTCTCTCCAGCTCTGAATCCCAAGGCAGATTGGGGCACAGAGCGGAGTTGCCAGGGGGAGAGAGGAAGAGCATGTGGGGAAGTAACTGGCTTCCCAGTTCTAAAACTCCAGTGTGAGCCAGGGAGAAAGAGAGTCCATGAAACAAGGAGAGGGTCACAGAACTAAGGAACATCCTAGCATTGGCATGGTGCTCGCATGGCCTTCGAAAGCACCAATGGGAGGTGTTGCTTCTCCCTGCTGGGAAGTTCTGCAAAGAACAAATTAAATCCTGTTTGCTTCTCCAGGAAACAGAGGCCAAAGAATCTGAATAACTCTCCAAAGGTCACCAAGGTATTCAGTGGCCAAACTGGGACCAGAATGGATGATTTTTGTCCCGATTCCAGGGTTCGTTCTATTCTCTGTCTTCTGTCATGGTGACAGCACTGACATGAGAAGAGGGTGTTCCCTCAGGGATGTGCTGTGGCTCTTGGCTGAGACCTGAGGCTGCAGGACATCAGGATAGCCCCGGACACCCTCCCACCCTCCCGTAACCCCATTTTGCATGTCTTCCTCTGTCGGACTCTTCCTCAGAGTTCCAAAGAAGAAGACGCGGCCCTCAACAAGTTACAAAGAACAATGGACTTACCATATAGCAATGCCTAGTAAGCATCTATTGAAATGTTGGGCCAATTAAGGAATGAATTAGTTAATAAGTAAAGGGAGGAAAATGAACTAGAATTTCAATATCCTGACAGGTAAACCAAATGGGGAAAAAATGCAGACAATTCACTGATGAGAAGATTCAGTGTTTCAAGAAAAAAATTGTTTAGTACTAAAGGAAGAAATACATTGTCTTTGGTAGAAAAATTTGAGATTCATTCAGCGTTATCAGTGATTGGATAGACTTTGGAAATAACCCGTGGGTTACCGTGGTAATTCAATGAACTCCTCTCTGCGCATTTCCACCTCCCAAATCACTTTATTTGTTCTTATTTTCATATTCACCAGTATCACAGGCAATGAGCAGGTACCATGCTGTACAAAACAACAAACAAAACAGCATAAAACAGGCTAGAAGGAGAGGTGCTAGGCGCCCACGTGAACTCTTCCAGGGCGTCTTACCAATCATTCTTCTGTCTTCTCCACTGAAGCCTTTCTCTCACCCCCAGGTGTCATGGGTTTGAAACATTTCAGAATGTCTCATGAACACATTCATTTCACTTGACTTCCTTCCCCTTTTGATATCACAAATGCTGCTTCTTCCTTTGTCTTGCAAACAGGGTATCTTCAGGTCCTGCCATTCCAATGGTGAGGGTTTAGCTGACATTGCAAAGTGTGCTTTGCATTTTTCCTTCTGCTCCCCCACTCCAGGACCCTGCTTCTCTTGGTTTGGACAAAGAGCCTTGCATTCTTTTGACATGTTTTGTAATCATCTTAAACTTTCGTTCAGATGATTGATTTGTGTTAAATCTCACTGCCTGTCACTTGGGGTGGGGCCTGGAAAGTTGCCTTCTGCCCACCGCTCCATTTTGCCCTGGCTTCGTTACACCCCAGCACCCTAAGACCCGCTCTCATCCTCCTCTCCATCCTCCAGGTGCCATGAAGGTATCCTGAAGATGGGAAAATATGATTTTGTCATTCTCTATTTTGGAAATTATTTTTTAACTCCCTTTATTAAAACCAGAAGTTTATCATTAGGGTACATGAGAGACTGTAGGAAATTCAAGAATGATACTTTCTTCTTTTCAGAATACAGTAGGAAAATTGAAGAGAAGCACTAAATTTCATTGAATTTCTTCACTTTGGGGTAGAAGTTTATCATTTCAATGTCGAAATACTAAAGAGTTTATTTTGACCAGAAGCTCTGATTAGTGTGTGTGTGTGTGTCTGTGTGTGTACATTACAGATTTATGTTTGATTAATTCCAAGTAAGATCAATGATTTTTTTATGAAAATTTAATATGGTCATCAAGTATATATCTTAACATGTAGTTTGTTGGAGAAAATCAAGTAGATCTTTGTGGAGTTTGAGCCTGTTCATTCATTATCCAGAGACACAAATCTAAGGTGCAGCAACAGCAGATCCCATGTAAAGCCAAGGGAAGTTGAATCCTCGTGGAGATGTGAGAGGAGCCCAGAGCTACCTGTCAGAAGTCAAACCGAGGAGAGGAAGATCAGATTCAGGCAGGGAGTGAGAATCAGGAGTGAGTATTGGGCAGAGATGCACACAAGCGGGCAAAGGCATTTGGATGCCTTGCAGCAAGTGGTTTGTGGTTCGTAATGCCGTCTCCTTCTTCTCTAGTTGCTGAGCCTTGCCCATTCCAAAGATGTCTTCTTTGAATTTCCTAAGTGTGGATGTTGTACTTTACAGTTATAAATATTTCCCCCCTAGAGCTAGACCTGGACAAATGTAACTACTGCTGTTAATTTGAGATATACAATTATACATTTCAGAAAATGGGAGGACTTTTCTCTCCATACTGTTACTGGTTAGCTGGGCAGAGTTTTGGTGTGGATTCCATTATTTTTCATGTACTGAAGACAAATGATGGACTAAGTAACAGATTATGTTTGAACTGAGAAAGTGTTTAACATGACTGAAAACAGTCTCCTTCTTCAGTTTTTATATTACTTTCTTGTTCTTGAGTAATTGCTTTTTCTTGGAGATAATGTCAGAAAATTGAGAGACACTTAAACTATATCATGCAAACAAATTGAAAAAAAAAATACCCCTCAGGATACCTCATATAATAACTGTGTAGCTATGTATGTATGAATAAATGCATTAATATCATGGGTACATATAGTTACTTGAGCCCAATAAGAAAGTCAATAAAGGAAGCTTTTGCCACTAACTTTCTAGGAGAATCCTCTTAGAAACAAAATCTAGTCATGGATTTTAGAGGAAAGAATTCGGATTCAATCAGAGAGCAATTGTAATTATTTATACTAGCTCTCCTAATCCTGCAGTTTATTGGCTTTTTCCTGCTCTATCACAATTTTTTCTTTTAGTGCTTATGGTCTCAATGTCCTGGGTCTAACCTTTTAAGATGGACGTCTTAAAAAATGCACATTTCCTAAAGGCTGTTATACCCTCCTGTGTTTTATTGAATTTTTTCCTATTGATCTGAGAATACACAATCACAGGCCTTCAGAGAATAATGCATTTTTTAAGTGAGAAAGGGTATAAAGAGAAGTTTTATTTTATTTTTTTTCTTATTGTTTTTCAAGTCAAAATCTGGCTTGGGGAAAATTTAATCACGGGATCCAGTCACCAGTAAAAGTAACATTTCTATTAATTTTTATTTTAAATTTATTTTCTAAATTGACAGATACTATTGTATATTTGTATCATGTACAAGATGTCTTGAAGTAGAAGGAATACATTTTAAGAGATCTATTGTACAGTAAGGTGACTATAGTTAATGATGATACATTATATTCTCGAAAGATAGAAAGAGAGGGAATGTTAACTCCCTTCACCACAAAAATGGTAAGTATGTGAAGAAATGCATATATTAATTAGGTAGACTTAACCATTCCATAAAATAACATTTCTTTTAAAAAGCAACGTCATACACATGTGTTTGGGTGACTATTAAAAACTGAACTTATGGAATTTGGGGGAAAGTAAAGCTGTGCATTGATTTATATCTAAGAGAGGCTGTGAGCTAAGCATCAAAAGAATGTCAAATCTAAACACAAGATGTTCAAGTAAATCCGGAGTAAATAACCAGGACCAGTCTTTAAAAGCCTGGCCTGGTGAGATGGTTGACGACATGGCATAGCTTGGGGCTCAGGGAAGTGGGGAGATTTGAGGCAGGGTGGCGGGTGCCAGAGGTTCTGCTGGATGAGAAGTTAAATGCACCAGAGGATAATACACCTTGTACCATCAAAGTCATAACATATACTGTCTTCAGAAACCCCGACCTGTACAATGAAAGAGACACTGTGATCCACTGCGATGTGAGTGATACAGGGACGTAGTGACCTGGGGTACTCAGCTTCCCTGCCTCTTCCAGAGCTCCAGATGGGCAGGTGCACCAGGTGTTTTGTTAGGGCCTTGGCAGAGCTTTCATGGTGGCTCTGTGCAGTAGCGAGTGGTAAGGACCCGAGGGAAACCAACAGAGGTGGGCTGAGACTGCCAGTAATTCTGCAAATAATGTTTGCACCTAATTACCCTTCCAAACTACCTCTGAACACTGCCTGCCACATACAGCAAGATGAAAAGATGCTTGTTCATCAAAATCAGATGCTAGGATGATGCAATGGAGACATTGATGAAGTGGTTGGAATTATATGGTCTCAGGGAACACGTCTTCTAAAATAAATTTTATCTGAAGTTGTGTAGTCTTAAGGATGGTAGTTATAATATCTCCAGGAATAATTTTCTAACTGCTGGTTGAATGACTGCAGTGACAAAGCAGCCACTAAGTCACCGCAGTGGGAGGTAGTTCAAATGGCTGATAGGTTTGTTTATTCATGAAGTGGCTTTCACTTCTCTAATTTCTGCCTTGACTCTGGTTTGGATCTTGGAGCCACGTAGAGCAGATTTCAGCATTTCTTCACAGAATATTCTTCCTATATGAGGGAGCAACCATGAGTCCGACCTTGTCTTTGTTTCCTTGTATAAACGTTGTTGCTGCATAGACACTGTTGTTTCATCTGTCTCTGAAAAACACACAAAAATGTTGCACTGATTTCTCTCTGTACTCTTGCCTTCTGGAGCTCACTTCCATCCACGTGCCCTTATGCAGGTCACATGGCTCAAGAGACAGTGCCCTCAGCAGGACCTTAGTGTTTTGAGACCCACTTTGAAGGCAGTGTGTTAAGGAGAGAACTGGCCTGAACAGCTTCTGTGAATGCAGCTCTTCTATCCCTGCAGACAGACCACAGACACACTGAAATCTTTTTTTTTTTTCTACTGGGAGAATTTTTTTTTTTAACTTTTGTCTTAAGTTCAAGGGGACATGTGCAAGTTTGTTTTATGGGTAAACGTGTGTCATGGGCATTTGTCATACAGATTATTTTCTCATGCAGGTATTAAGCCTAGTACCTATTGGTTCTTTTTCCTGATCCTCTATCTCCTCCCACTCCTCCTGCTCCGATAGGCCCCCGTGTCTGTTGTTCCTTTCTTTGTATCCATGTGTTCTCATCTTTAGCAGAGACAGTGCCTGCTGCTCTCCTCTGCTGAGAAAGACTGGAATGAATCTACCAGTGCCAGAAGAGGGAAATCTGCATGCCTGCATTCTGAGTCCCCAAGACAGACCTCTTTGTAAGGAGGCGATGCATGTTTGCATACGTTGGATTGTAGTGGGTACTCAAGGGACCAGAAAGATTGGCTAGAGAAAGCTGAATAATGATAGATTCTGGAAAGGAAAATGGAAATGTTCTAGAAAGGAAGAGGAGGATTGAGCTTGATCTGGTCAGCATAGAGCTGTGCCCAGCTGTCCTGGCCGTGCCAAGGACACATTGCTGGGCTTGGCAGGATCAACGAAGAGGGGGAAGAGTTCCCACCTATTTCTTTCAGTTCCCAAAGATGAGAACAATGCTTTCTTCTGATAGAGTCTAAAAGCTGCCAAGGAGAACTAACAAACTGATTTCTTATTTTCCGTCATGAAAATTCCCCGACGCAGGCAGACACTAGAGGCCTCTTAAAACGAGGTGCCTTTAGGAAGTATAATGGTGTGTGCCATCCAATGTTTGAGTAATTCTGTGAATTTTCAATTTAATACATTTATACCTAGGCAAGGAAGTCATTTTCATTGAAGTTGAGGGTGACTAGAGAGTTTTACAATTGATGAAGTACTTGGGAGCTATCTCCAATCCTTTTTTATTTTTTAATAATAGAATAAGACAGAAATGCAGGATGGAGGCAGACAAAGAGACAGAGAGGAAGAGAGAGAGGGAGAGGGAGAGGGAAAGAATAAATAGTCAAAAAATAAACAACAAATCTTCTGAGGAGGCATTCTGTAAAGTGAAAAGTTCCGAAGGATGCAACTTCAGGAATAGCCCCATGTCTTTAATAGAACAGAGGGAGAAAGGAAGGAAGCCAAAGCTAGCTCCTCATTTTAGCTGAGGCCTTCTGATTCTCCAGAGTCTTGAATCTCATTAAGGAGAATTTCCACAACTTAGTTATGAAACTGTGAAACCAATATTAGGATTTCAAGGGACATCGGAAGGCACTAGCCAGGGGCCACTGAGACACAGGAAGGCCCTTCTCCATGTGGGAATACCACACCAGCCCCAGGGTACTTTAAGCAAAAGGACCCATGAGACACATGACGAAAGCATTGTAAGTTATACTTTAAATGAATGTCGGTAGCTTTACTTACTCAAGGTCTTCATATCAGGAGGTGGTGGGGGGAGCTACACAGTTAGACCTAGCATACCTGTGCCCAGGCTGTCAGTATTGTTAGAAAGTTCTTATACTGAGTCAATATGAAAATTCCTGAACTGACCCTCATTCTGTCCTTGGCAGTCATAGAACAAGGCTGATGCCCTTGTACACAACATTCATTCTAAGGTTAAAAGACAACAGGGTGCTACCTGCAAAGCGTTGATGGTGTTGATCTAACAGCCTACCTTTGCTGCAGCTCAGACTCCTGGGAGTGCTCCAGGTTGGTGTCCTAACCAAGCCACTGGAACCCTACAGGGAGCTCAGGACCCCGTGATCAAGATGCCTGGGCACTGTACCTCTAAGCAGTCTTCAGCTGTGTCTACCGAACTCACTACTAGAATCTATCCTGTGGTCAACAAGGGGGACAGTTTCTGGAAGTAGGAAATCTCTACCCAAGAAGAGGATGACGTCTTGATCCTAGAGGATGAAGGCTCTTATAGCAGAAAACCAAGCCCTTAAATCACGTACATGTTGGCTCAAACACTGAGTATATCAGCGCCACTTAAATCTGGCCTCGCTATTATGTAGCTTTTATATTTCATGGAGGGAGAAGCCTGGTGGGGACACAAGGTATAATTTTCTCTCCCTCATGCAAGAGTTCCAGGGACCATTCCGTACGTATGTTTTGGTGAGCTCAATGGAAGTTACCTCAACTATTTTGGTGTCTTCCCTTGCCACAGAGGGGAGACTTTCAACATGGTCATGGGCACGTTGCAGAGCAATTCAAGGAAGCCTTTGACACTGCACAGAAAGGAAGCAGCTGATCTCAAGATGCAGCTCTGGTGCCAAGGGGCAGATCCCTGGCTCATTACATCAGCGCCTTCCAAGTCCTGCTGGCACTGGCAGGCCAGTTCCAGGAAGACTCAGAGGCTGTCCCGGGAGGGAGGTGGAGCTGTCTGAACTCCCACGCCTCCCGCCAGGCATAAAAGTGCCATTTTCTGAACTGACTCTGGCACCACATAAACCTCCCACCCATCTATGAAACGAAGGTGTGTGAGTTTAGAAACCACCCACATAGCTTGGAGGAACAACCCAGATAAGGCCTCACAGTGGCCTGACTTTTAGGGTGGGTCTGGATTCACTATGAAGAAAGGCTCCAAAAGAAGTAACGCACAGGCCTTCCAGTGTGCACCAGTGTGGGCTGTGTGTGTGAGTGTGTGTGAGAGTACATGAGAGTGGTGTGTGTGTGTGAGGGATATATGCGTGTGGTGTCTGTGTTTTTTTGTACATGAGTGTGGTTTGTGTGTGGTATATGTGTGGTGTGTGTGAACGTGGTGCATGTGTATTTGTGTGTACATGAGTGGTGTGTGTGGTATATGTGGGTGTGTGTGAGCATGTGTACGTGTGTGTATTTTTGTATACATGAGTGTGGTGTGTGTGAGGGATATGTGTGTGCGTGATGTGTCAATGTGGTGTGTATGTGTTTTTGTGTACATGAGTGGTGTGCATGTGTGTGTGTGGTACACGTGTATATGATAGATGTGGTTGTGTGTGAGCATGTGTGTGTGGGTGGTATGTGTGAACGTGGTGTGTATTTGTGTTCACATGAATGGTGTGTATGTATGGGGGTTATATGTGGGTGTGTGTGTATGAGCATGTATGTGTATGTGGTGGGGGCAGGAATGGAGGGTCACAGGTCCTGGTCCTGAGGGGTATATGTGTGCATGTGTGAGCATGTTGTGTGTGTGTGTTTGTGTACATGAGTGTGATTTGTGCTGTTTGGTGTGTGAACGTGATGTGTGTATTTGTGTATACATGAGTGGTCTGTGTGTGGCGTGTGTGTGTGTGAGCATGTCCTGTGTGTGTGTGTATGTGTGGTGGGGGCAGTAATGGAGGGTCACAGGTCCTGGTCTTGGGTGTGTGTGTGGGGGAGCGGGGCAAGAATGGAGGGTCGCAGGTCCTGGTCGTGGGTGTGTGTGTGGGGGAGCGGGACAAGAATGGAGGGTCACAGGTCTTGGTCTTGGGGGGGTATATGTGTGTGTGTGTAAGGATGTCGTGTGTGCGTTTGTGTGTGTGTGTTTTTGTGTACATGAGTGTGGTTTGTGTGTGGTGTGTGTGAATATGATGTGTATTTATGTGTGTAGGAGTGATGTGTGTGTGTTTGTGTGTGTGTGTGTGTGTGTGTGTGTGTGTGCTGGAGGCAGGAATGGCCTGTCACAGGTCACAGGTCCTGGTCTTGGTCATACACCCTCTCTCTGTGGACCTCTGTTTTCTATGCGCCTAAGGTGTATCCCTTTTAGAGAATTTTTAGTGACACGTAATTTTTAGCTATGTTGAATCCCAGAACCTCAACAACTTTGCCAAACGGACTTCAAGTGTTCCCGAAGCTTCCAAAAATTATACTGAAGATCATTAACAAAGGGCTGCTTGATCTCGATTTCAGAACTGTTATGATTAGGTTTTGACAGATTTTAAGCCCAGAGAACATGCAACCCAAAATGTCTCTGCTTTCACTGAGGTCCAGGAGGATCATCCTCATGGCTGCTTTCGTTTCTGTTTTTCCCAATCCAACCAAACTGTAGCATTGAGTGAAAACATTTATTTATTCTACTAATCTTTGTTGAACACTTACCCCTCCTTCAGATTCCAGACACAGTTCCAGACATTGGGAGTGCAGTGGTCAATATATTTACAAAAAAAAAAAATTGTTATAATGTCTTACATTGTAGAAGGAGTAGAAAAACAAATGAGCAAATGAAATATGCCAGTTGAAGATGAGTATTACAGAGAAAAACAAAGCAGGAAGAAGATTAGGGGATGCTTTGAAAGGGGCTATGATTTCCAGTAGCTGGGTCAAGGAAGGCCATAATGAGAAGGAAATACTTGAGATAAGTTCTAAAGAAAACTGGAAAAGAGCCACATGATCCCTGGGTAGGAATGTTCCAGGAAGAAGATACAGAGAATCTAAAGACTTTGAAGTGAGCAGACCTAGTGTTTTCCAGGAAAAGGCTAACTCATATGGTTTTAGTGGAGTGAACAAGAGACAGAGAGATTAGGTCAGAGAGGGGATGGGAGCCTGGTGATGGAAGTGATCAGATTATATGAGACCTTGTAAATGTGAATTATGGCTCTGGGCAAGAGAATTACATGATGCTGTTCATGTTTTTAAAAGATCATTGACATGAATAGATTATGAAGTGTAAAGGGGCAAGGCCTGTATAAGGAAGACTAGTTAGAAGCTTTTTATAGTGACTCGGGCTACAGTTGATGCCACCTTTGACCAGCGTGGTAGTCATGGTATTTTCAGGAAGAGTTTGATTCTGAATACATTTTCCTTTTACTGTTTAGTTTGAAAATAATCTAAACATCTAGAAAGGAATGTTATGATGATGACCAGATATGCCTTTTTCCTGCATTCATAAATGCTTTTTTCTTTTTTCTTTTCTTTTTTTTCTTTTCTTTTTTTTTTTTTTTTTTTTTTTGAGACTGAGTCTTGCTCTGCTGCCCAGTGGCACCATCTCGGTTCACTGCAACCTCCACCTCCTGGGTTCAAGCAATTCTCCTCCCTCAGCCTCCCTAGTAGCTGGGACTACAGGTGTGTACCACCACACCCAACTAATTTTTGTATTTTTAGTAGAGACAGGTTTCATCATGTTGACCAGGCTGGTCTCGAACCCCTGACCTCAGGTGATCCACCCGCCTCAGCGTCCCAAACTTCTGGGATTACAGTTGTGAGCGACCGCTCTCGGCAGCATTCACAAATTCTTAACATATTTTGCTGCATATGTTTTGACTTTCTTTGTGCTCATACACATATATCCATAAAAATATATGGATGAACCAGTTGATACCCATTTGTAGATACCATGATATTTCAGCCTCTATCTCCTGAGAAAGAGTACTTCTGTGTATAACTTAACCACAAACCAGAAAATTATTATCGATGACATAGTACTATCTAATATTCAATTCATACTCAAGTTTATCCAATTCATAAAAAAAGTCTTTTATAACTGCTTTTACTTGTGTTTTCTCTGTCTTGGTTTTAATGCATAATATTTTAACACAAAGTGTTCAGTGCAGCAGGAAATATTTTCAATGTGCTAACCTTTTTCTCAGATTAGAAGTCTTCCAAGTGGTCAGGGCATGAAAAGATAGAAAGTCTGCCCTCAGCGCTTCATTCTAGCGACTTTGTTGACAGGATTTGCTGAAGGATCAAGTAAGAGGTAGGAGAGAAAGACAGGGATTAAGGAAGCCCAGGGTTTTTGGCCTCAGCCAAACTGGTCCAGAGGATTTACTGTTTACTGTTAAATGTATAGAATCCAAGGAGAAGCCTAGACTGAAAATGTAAATATGGGAGACACCCACATACAAGGAGTCTTTAAGGCAAGCAATCAGATGAGCTCACCAAGTAGAAAAGGTCCAAAGACCATGGTCTATGAGTCTCCAAAATTAGGAAGTCAGATCGGGGAGAAAGGCTCAGCAAAGGACACTAAGGAGTGGTGTCAGAGCAAGAGAAGAGGAAAATCAAGTAAAGTTGTCCCGGTTGTCTGGCTAACAAATGAACAAGGAGTGTGTATCCCTGTGAAACCCAGGTGAAATGAAATGAAATGAAGCCTAGACTTTGAGATGTTGGTCACCTTGACACACAACAGTTTTGGTGTAATGTTGGGAGCAAAAGACTGACCTGTGTGAGGGAAGGAGTAGGAATGAAGAAAGTAAAATGATCAAGGAATTTTACTGTAAATGGTGATAGAAAGATTGAACAGTAGATAGAGAAGGAAGTGAGGTCAAATATTTTTTAACTCTTAGGAAAAAAAATTGATTTGGGGAGAGGAGCTATATTGTTTGACCAATATTCTTTAATAGGTAATGAGACTGTAAGTTTTATGTGTCAGCTTGGCTAGGCCATGGTACCCAGATATTTGGCCAAACACTAGTCTAGGTGTTGTGAAGGTATTTTAAGGATGTGATTCATGTTTAAACTGGTGTAGTTTAAGTGAAACAGATTATTCTTATGTTTGTGGGTGTATTAGTATGCTCTCATGCTGCTCATAAAGACATACACAGGACTAGGTAATTTATAAAGATAAAGAGGTTTTAGGGACTCACAGTTCCACATGGCCGGGGAGGCCTCACAATCATGGTGAAAGGTGAACAAGGAGTGAAGTCACATCTTACATGGTGGTAGCAAGGAGAAGAACCAAACAGAAGGGGGTAACGCCCCTTATAAAACCATCAGATCTCCTGAGAACAAACTCTCCTGAGAACAGGATGGGGGGAAACACCTCCATCGTTCAATTATCTCCACCTGATCCCTTCCATGACACATGGGTATTATGGGAACTAGAATTCAAGATGAGATTTGGGTGGGGACACAGCCAAATCATATCAGTGGGCCTCATCCAGGAAGATAAAGACCTTAAGAGAACAAGCATTAAGTTCCCCAAAGAAGAGGGAATTCTACCTCCAGACTGCCCTTTCATCAGCCACAACTGCATGAGCCAATTTCTTAACATATATCTCTCTGTGTATGTGTGAGTACTTGTATACTTATACATATCTTATAACCTATATGACATATATATGATATGTGCATATCATATATAATATGCACATAACCTATTCTGTTTCTATAGAGAGCCCTGACTAAGGAATGGCTTTTATTTATAAATGGAAGTAGTTTTTTTAGATAGGAATAGTAGTGTGAAGTTGCTTTTTAGTAACAGAATGAAGAGAGAACTGGTGAACTCATATAACAGCAGACTTCACGGAAGGTTTCTGCCAATGGCTTCAAACACTGAGCAATACGCTGAGGGTTCACTGAGGTTAAGTCATATATTTAAGGCATGTCAATCATGTGTTTCTGTCTCCTTTGGCATGCACCTGAACTAACACTGGCATAGAATGACAGAAGGGTGGGCTTAACAAGGGTTGGGGTGTTGACAATCAAGAAGGCATGTAAGGGCAAGGGTTTTAGAGTGAAGTTCACATTTGTAATTATATTTCCTAAAGTTTAAGCTGAGAAAGGAGAGATGTGAAAGACAATAAAGAGATGGTTGCACAATGGTTTAGTGGTCTTGGAGATGTTGACCCATTAGTGATATCAAGATAAAGTGAGAGTAAGATTGGAAGACAGAAGGAGGTAGTAAGAGAGTATATTGCTGTCAGTGAAATTATGAAGGGGTTGAAGAATTTGGCAATGATAAGGACTAAGGGTATGACCATGGGATTAGATAGTTTAGAAAGGGGATGACCCAAGACATTTGAAAGACAAGGGCCAGGTACAAGTGGACAGAGCAAAGGAATCTAATATTTTCAAGAAATGAAAATGAGGAAAAACCTGAGATTTTGTTGTTTGATGAATCCCATGTCATCAGTTTATATTGCGCACTCACTTCTTGTTGCAAAGCTGGAAAGATTTAGAAGTGAGGGAAAATTAATTGGGAACAGCAGTGAGGAGTAAAACGTTGTGGTAGATAAAAACGGTACAATGATTTCTTAAAGTTATCCACACCCTAACATAGGGAACCTGTGTCTATATTACCTTACATGGCAGAAGGGAATTTGCAGATGGGATTAAGATTAAGGACCCTCAGATGGGGACCTTGTGATTAGGTGGAACTCATCTAATTGCAAGTGTCCTTACAATTAGAGAAACTTTTCTAGTTGAGATCAGAGGGAAATGTGACTATGGAAGAATGGTCAGAAAAATGCAATGTTGCTGGCTTGGAGGATGCAGGTAGGGAGACAAGAGCCAAGGATGGTAGCACTACAAAAAAACTGGGAATGACCTTCAGCTCACACTAAGCAAGAAAATGGGGAGCTGGATTCCATAGCCCCCAGGAATGAAATTCTGCCAAAAGCCCAGATGAACAGGAAACAAATCCCCACCTAGAGCCTCCATAAAAGAAGGTAACTTATTTTAGCCCACCAAGACCTATATTGGACTTCTGACCTACAACAATAGGAAATTAATGCAGAATTAAAACTACCCCACTAACTATTCCAGATATTAAAGGGGAATGATCGAGGAGGAAAAAATAAAACACAGCTTGAGAAAATTCTAGAGAAGCAAATTACATCATCCTCAATTTCTGTTCACAAAGCTTCAGTTACTCCCAGGTTCATCACAGCCAGTCCCAACCCTGACATAAACAGACAGCCAGGTTCTGAGAACACGGCCAGCCATGTGGGGGCTGACACCCTGCTTCCAGAGAAGTAAAGGTTAAACTTGGTGTTGAACTGACTGAATTAATAAATTCAGAATCTTCCTGTTGTGTTTTTTGGAGGGGTCCCTGCCACCTTGAATTTTTTAAAAAAAGAGTATTCATTAATGGAAGCCAGAATTTGGGAATCATTGTTTTAAAAATCTCTTCCTAAAACCCTTTTGAATTCCTCTATTAAATCTATGCCCTTGTTAATTGTCCTAGGCATAATTGTCTCTCTCACCTGGTTTGTGTCTTCCCTTCTACTCACCTGCCCTGCCACCACATTCTCCTCAGAGAAACCACAGTCATCCTTCATTGGCCCTTTTCTTCTGCTACAGGCATCACCTTGACTTTTGGAGGAAAAAAGTCTGGTAAGATGCCCTCTCACTGTTTAGTTCACTCATATTTACATTTCAGACCTGTGCTTAATCCACTGTCTCAGGTGAGCAAGTCTTGGCATCTGAATAGGTCAACAATACCTATTGTATATTCTCATAGCATTATAAAAGTGATGTATTCTACTTTTATTTATTTGACACTTTGATTATATTTATCTCTCCACCACCAGGCCTTAACATCCTGAAGGTAGGATCATGTCTGTTTTCATTCTTCATTTCTTAGCATACTATTTGAGATGTACCATACCTGGTATCAAAAATAAGAATAAATGAGCTGGCTGTGATGGCTCAAGCTTGCGTCCAGGAGTTTGAAACCAGCCTGGGCAACATGACAAAACCTCATCTCTACAAAAAATACAAAAGTTAGCTGCATGTGGTGGCATGTGCCTGTCCCAGCTACCAGAGAGGCTAAGACCAGAAGGTCGATTGAGCCCAGCAGGTCAAGGCTGGAGGGAGCCGCGATCATGCCACTGCACTCCAGCCTGGGTGAAAGAGCAAGACCCTGTCTCATAAAAAAAAAAAAAAAAAAAAAAAAAAGAACAAATGAGTGAATGCCCATGAGAACATATGTACTCTGGGATGGAACTAAGAAACCTGTAGTCATGTATTGAAAAAAAGTCCAGGAAAAGGTTTGAAATTGGTCTGTTAAAATCTCATTGATATTTTTAAAGAGACCATTTAGGGTCTAGATTATACGGTAGATTCCTGATGGAATATATTTGGGGATTCCTTTCTTTCTTTTTTACAAATATCTGGGTGACATAACTTATAACAAGATAGACCTGCAGAAAAGCTCTAATCTCATTTCTATTACTTTGAGAGATAAAAGAAAGCATGCATTACAGCTTTGCAAGTATGTTGAAAAGCACATGAGAAATATTTTAGAAATAGCCCATCCATATTTCAATATTTCAGGAACAATATTTTAGGACATGCACGATCAATTTGTTTAGACAGATGCTGTGCATCTGAGTGAGTGTGAGGGTGTGTTTTCCTAGATCTCCTCCTATCCGCATTTTTCTCTGCTCAGCACTGTCTAGAATCAACCCATGCTAGGGCAGTATGCAGATAGAAAGCTCTGTGAAGCCCTACATTAGGACCTCCCATCACTGGCCTCTGGCTCTAACACTGCAGTATGTGTTATTGTTTGAATGAGATTTGGTGATTATCAGTCACCCAATGTTAGGAAGAATATCATTTCAGGAAGAACACCTGAATTCAGAAAATATGAAGCCGAAGAATATCAAGGAACTTGTAAAGTACATAGTTATGGCTCTCAGTAGATTGGATTTGTTATAACAGGCTATGGAGAAAGAAACTTGTAAATATAAATAGTTACTACTAATAAGTATTGTCTGTCTGTCAGGCACACTGCTGTCATCGGGTAATAGAGTATCTCATTGCTGTGGTAACAATGTGCTGAATGTTTCTCCCAAAGTTTGTGTGTTGAAAACTTAATCCCCAATGCAACTGTGCTGAGAGGTGGAAACTTTAAGAGGTGATTAGGTCATGAGGGTTCTACCCTCAGGAATGGTTTAATATTGTTATCGTAGGAGTGGGATCCTCATAAAAGGATGAATTTGTCCTCTGCTTCCCCCTCTTTCTCTCACATTCACTCGTATGATGCTTTCTGCCATGTTATTACACAGCAAGAAGGCTCTCATCTGATTCTGGTGCTTTGATCTTGGACTTCCCACCCACCAGAATCATGGGAAATAAATTTTGGTTCTTTCTCAATTATCTAGTCTTGGGTGTCCTGTGATGGCAGCACAAAATAGACTGAGACAGTCATTTAAATTTCACAAAATGAATTCAAGTAGACGTCATTATGATCCCCCTTTTACATAACAGTGTCATTACACTGTCGTTTCTAAGGAATAAACATACTTCCCCAGTTCATGTAAGATAGTAACAGTGTTATGTTTTCTTATCTTCCTTTATTCCCACTTTTCAACCAGATCAAATTATTCAGTCATTCAAGTCAATTCTTTGTTTGAAAAATACTTAATTCCGTGGGGAGTTAGGAGAGACATAAGAGAGAAAAAAAATCTAACGGTATTTATTCCAGGACTATTCTGGGGAAAGAGACAAGTGGTAGCACCACAGGGGGCTATCCTCTCAGGAATTATGTCCATTCCTTAAAACAAGGAGAATTCTGTGGTACTTCTTTGGAGAAATAATCTGTAGGTGGGATCTGAAGATACTGAAGAGGGTGATATGGTTTGACTCTGTGTCCCCACCCAAATCTCATCTCAAATTATAATCCCCACATGTCGAGGGGGAGACTTGGTGGGAGGGGATTGGAACATGGGGCGGTTTCCCCCATGCTGCTCTTGTGATAGTGAGTGGGGTCTCTGGAGATGTGATGGTTTTATGCACCTGGCAATTCCCCTCCTTTCTATTTCTTCCTGACACCTTGTGAAGAACGTGCTTGCTTCGCCTTCCACCATGATTGTAAGTTTCCTGAGGCCTCCCCAGCCCTGTGGAACTGTGAGTCATTTAAACCTCCTTTCAGTATAAATTACCCAGTCTCCAGTAATTGTTTATAGCAGTGTGAAAATGGACTAATACAGAGGGGCAGTAGATGATGAAATAGGAAGCATGTAAATCATTTTTATCAAAAGTGAAAATATGAGCTCCCAGGAACACCTGTCAATATGACTGACAGCAAGTACAAAGTGCCTGGGGGAGAAAATCCCAAGGAAGCAAGATAATAATGTGCGTGGCCTGTTCAATAAGCACTTAGCCTGAGGTCTTTCCAATATGCAAAGCAAAGCAAGTGTGCTTGTGCACTTTCTTCTGTCTTCGGCATGCTGACTTTCTTGCAGCAACCCAGACTTGTCCTATAAAAGTTCTTTAATTCATTCGTCCTAAAAGGCCTTCATGGTAGCTGCTGTTTGAAAAGATTATAAAATGTAGGCTTAAAAGAAACACATCTGAAATAGATGAATGTGGCTAATGAGATGTCTTATAATTAAAGTGTAGAACTCCCTGCCACACGTTATTAAGACTCAGGAATCTTCAAACAAGAATTACAACAGGGAGAACATCAGCAATGCCATTAACAGTGATAAAATTAGAAGGGAGATCAATCATGCTACTTTAGGGCACACACTGAGGGCTGGACAAGGTGGAGAAGATTTTATGTTGTAGGATATCACTTAAGCATCACAGTTTCATACGTAAAGCCCTTGCATCTTAAACATGAGTGACTTTTCTATGATTACTCCGTTTTGATCTCTATTATATATTTACTATTAATTTACTAGTGTTTGCCTTCTCAATACTAGATGCATTCTCTTTGCCATCTTTAAAATGGTTACAACATTCTGGTTTCTTTTAGGCCTATGGTCATTTGAACTGAAATGGTACAGTAGGATTATTGCTCGAAAAGGAAGAAAAAAATGCTAGGTTTTACCCATTTTACCCTCCAGCGAATAATTTCCATAATTTTTTTGGGAGGGGAGATAGGTTCTTGCTCTGTCACCCAGGCTGGAGTGCAGTGGCATGGTCATGGCTCATTGCAGACTTGACCTCCCAGGCTCAAGCAGCTCTCCTCCCTCAGCCTCCTGAGTAGCTATGGCTACAGGCATGCACCGCCATGCCTAGCTAACCTTTTAAAAAAGATATTTGTTTGTGGAGATGGGGTTTCACTATACTGCCCAGGCTGCTGGTCTCAAACTTCTGGGCTCAAGTAATCCTCCTGCCTTGGCCTCCTAAAGTGCTGGGATTATAGGTGTGAGCCACTGCAGTCAGCTGATTTTACATAATCTTACATATTAAAAATGAAAATGAAACTTGGAGGGTTTTTTTTTCCTGCCCCTCTTTGTCCTTCCACTTGCAAATATTCAGATGAGAATACTGAAAGTAATAATATTGCCTCCCCACACCAAGGTCACTGAAGGCATCCGTGGGAAACCTGGAGCTAGACCTCTGACCTTGAGCTCCTATTCCAGCTCTGCTCCCTTTGGACTGCACCAGGCTGCTTGCAGTGACTGCAGTGAGGGAACAGCTAAGAGTCAGCAGAAAGTAACTGCCAGCCTGCAAAGATTACAGACAAAGGAAACTCTTCCAGGTCATTTCCAAATATATTTTTTCTCAGGTATCTTAAGTGCTCTTATCACAGCAAGGAATATAACATTAATAGCTTACAAAACTGTTTTCCTCTATGAATAAGTGCATGTATTTAAGTTATGTACCTGCCGTGAAACATAATCCCATATAAAGGGCTGTCAGCAGAAAAGGGGGTATTACCTTACTGAAGAGCTAAAACCCCATGCACTTTGTTGCCAAAAAAAAAAAAAAATGGGTATTTTTCAAGGATGTTTTGAAAATTGCTGCAAACTCAAGGCAACTGTAATTTGTGTTCCATAAGCCTTTTCTTATTTTGCTATTCAGTTTCCATGGCAAACCCAATATCTAGAAAGTTTAAAGACACTTTGGTGTGACCTTTATATTTTAGTTTTCTTAATATATTAATTGTCTATTGTGATGAGTTGGCTTAAATATGTATATATATATTTTTAAATATATATGTGTGTATACATATTCATTATATGTATTTACTATATATACATTTATTCATATATTTAAATATATATAAATGTACACATTTATTTATATATATATTTAAGCATCTTCTCAGTATTACAAACTCATATTAATGTTTGTAATTTTAGGACACAAGTAACTTCCATCTGGGAATCATTTAATAGTATAAGTGAATTCAACTTGAAATCACAGAATAAAAGAAGAAAAATATACACACACATTGTGTTTGTGTTTGGTGATAGCGGATGTAAAAGTAGCTGAAAACTAGATATTTGGCAAAACATTTGAAAATTAATTAATGTGAGAGTCTAAAGCTGAATATTTATTCCTTTGTATCTCAGGATATATATCTTCTTCTTTTTTATGTTTTACAATATTCTATAAAGTAATCTTCCTCCTGCCCCTAGCAGTTATTATTATTTCAATTTTGAATTATCCCAAAAATTGACTAAGAATGAAAAACAAAATCTTTAATATTTTTAAGGTACATTCCTTTGTTTTTCCCTTTTCAGTTCTTCTTAAGATCACTATTATAAGAGATGTCAAGAGATAAAACATTGGAAATTCTAAGATATTCTAGAGACTTCTGTGATTTTTTTCCAGTTGACCATGATATCTCTGCTTCTCATAGAGAAGAAGAAAGTAATTGCCTTACAATGTAGGCTTTGCTTAGTGAGCTGAAACAATATTTTACTTGTCATTAATTAAATGAGCTAATGGAGCTTTTGTGATATAATACGAAATTGTTTTTTTGAAGGACTGTATTGGCTCCAGACAGAATTCTAAGCTGACAGTAGGCTGTTGAAAAGGAAAGGAAGAGAAACTGTCAATTTATGTTGACATGCAGTAAAATTGAAAATCAGGTCAATATTGTTGACAGGATTTACTTGCAGATATTGTACTCTACTTTGCTGTAATATCAGAAACATTTTACCGTGGATAGTTAGAACAAAGTCAGTTGGCTAAATCTTCTAATATATGTGTTTTCCTCTAACTATAAATCTGTGAATGGATTTAAAACTATACAGCTCAATCTTTTAACGGTGTTTATATGATTACCAAACACAGCACACAGGAATGCATCGATAGAGGTAATTTCTGCCAATATTTGCACCAAAGTGTATGTAACTAGTTATGAAACAATGGAACAAGGGCAGAGTAACACATTTGACCATGATTTGGAATGTGAGGTGTGAAAGTAGACAACAGAACATGGATTTAAAATTGTAAGTGGCTTGTCCTCGTGTTTTGCTTTTAGGTAAAATAAAACGTGTATCATGATGCACATGAATTTTTGCTTGTTGAATTTTGTTTATTTTGGTGTTTCTATCTTGGGCTACTTTTAAAGTAGCCTTTCAAAGATCATAGAGGAAGATGGATTTAATAACAACATGCATTATAGGAAATTAGTGAATTCTGAGTCTTTCAGGTAGAAGCAATGAATACCATTTATATTTTGGCAGAGTAACAAAATCTTATATCTTAGTACTAAAATTATAGTAAAACCCCATTTTGAACTCTATAAATGCCAGAAAATCACATGTAAAATTTAAATTACCAATTAAAGTGTGTAAAAATACTATTAGTGAAAGTATAGGTGGCTGGTAAAACTGTTTAGAAAAACTCAAGGGAGAGATTTCTACAATGAATGTCATGTACCATTGAGAATGGAATGAACTAGTTGTAGAAGTATAATGAGTAGAGTTTCATTGTGGCCCACATCCACAAAGTAAACCCAGATAAATATCTGTCACGCAACAGTGCATTCTTAGATAAAAATTTTGAAGTTATATATCTCCCTCTTCAGAAAGCAAACATCCTGATTAGTAAAACAACATTTGGTCACCAAGGGACCGTTTGTATCAACATACTTTTATGAAAGAATGACATTTTAGAAATAGTTCTTCATTTCTGACTAAGAATCCCTGTTTATCTTAACAAGCAGAACATTTTGTCATAGTTAGAACTACGTTTGTAATAAGACAAGGTAGATGTTATAATATTCTCTATGGTGAAAATTGATGATCCTTGATTTTGTTACTGAATAGCTACATCTTCCTTCCCCTCTTTTATTTTTTCTTCAAACAATATTTACTGAATTTCAAGTGCATATATGGTAATATTTAACTTTAGAGTTATAGAAATAAATTATATAATATCTGTCCTCCAAAAGGTTGTGGTCTAGGAGGTGTTAGGGTCATACTGCTTCCTTCAAAATAATAGTCTTGGTTTCAGGGTCCAAAATTTCAGAAAATAGCGGTTGCTTTCTGGATTTCAAAGTTGAGATTGGGGTTTTCAGCTCTCATGACTACAAATATATCCTCTGGACCACCACCCACCCCCACCCCGCCGTCTTTCATGAAGCAGTAAGGAAATTATGTTCCTCGGTAGATTCAAGTTGAACAAGAAGACAGAATTTTAATTTCCAGCTTCCATTAATATGATTTTAACTATTTTCTGCAATAGGATCTTTCCTTTTACTCTTTGTCCTTTACAGAAAAGGAAGTCTAGTTTCCAGCTCATGGCCAGGCAACCTTTGAAGGACAATCATGTTGAAATTGAGCTAAGGTAATTAAACTCAATTTTTTGACCTCCATGTTTACTACTTTATTGCCCTGTAAAAGCAACTCTATCTGCCTGGAGTCTGGCCTAGAGCTATGTCAAGTTCTGTCTGTCCCAGAAATTGCAGTGATTCTAAGGCTCTCATGGGCAGGGAGGACCCCGGAATGGTGTGAGGCTGGTCACAGCTGCTGAATATTTCTCTGGATCATCAAAAGGGTTTATTTTCCCGTCATTCTTTTAGGTTTTGTTGACCAGACCTTGAAAAATACAGCAGCAACAACAACAAAACTTTGGCCACAGAATGTGTATTGTGCTAAAATACATTAAAAGGATTAAAAAGTCAGGAAACAACAGGTGCTGGAGAGGATGTGGAGAAATAGGAACACTTTTACATTGTTGGTGGGACTGTAAACTCGTTCAACCATTGTGGAAGTCAGTGTGGCGATTCCTCAGGGATCTAGAACTAGAAATGCCATTTGACCCAGACATCCCATTACTGGGTATATACCCAAAGGATTATAAATCATGCTGCTATAAAGACACATGCACATGCATGTTTATTGTGGTACTATTCACAATACCAAAGACTTGGAACCAACACAAATGTCCAACAATGATAGACTGGATTAAGAAAATGTGGCACATATACACCATGGAATACTATGCAGCCATAAAAAATGATGAGTTCATGTCCTTTGTAGGGACATGGATGAAACTCGAAATCATCATTCTAAGTAAACTATTGCAAGAACAAAAAACGAAACATCGCATATTCTCACTCATAGGTGGGAATTGAAGAATGAGAACGCATGGACACAGGAAGGGGAACATCACACTCTGGGGACTGTTGTGGGGTGGGGGGAGGGGGGAGGGATAGCTTTAGGAGATATACCTAATACGAAATGATGAGTTAATGGGTGCGGCACACCAGCATGGCACATGTATACATATGTAACTAACCTGCACATTGTGCACATGTACCTAAAACTTAAAGTATAATAATAATAAAAGAAAAGAAAATATTCTATTTTAGCCTTCAAGATATATAGCTTTTTTCAAATGCAATTGATTTATGTTAATTATTGCAAAAGATAAATGAAGATTGTTTTCACATTCAGATTTGCCTCTCAGTGTGTTTTTCACTGACCATGTTGAAACCTAGATGTATGAACAAGGGAGAGATTGATCACCATGCTTGTTTTTGTATTTGTTTTGTTTTGTTTTAATTCCTAAGGATATATTTGACTCCCTGAGTCCTCAGAACTTAGAAAAGTTCCTGGCATTTCATACGAGAGCAGTAGATACTGAATGAGAGATTCTGGTAAGCACACAGGAAAAATAACCAACAATACACTCAAGAGTAATAATGGGGAACTTAGTGTCTTTTTTTTTGAGACGGAGTCTCACTCTGTGGCCCAGGCTGGAGTTCAGTGGCACAATCTCAGGTCACTGAAACCTCTGCCATGTGGGTTCAAGAAATTCTCCCAACTCAGCCTCCCGAGTAGCTGGCATTACAGGCGCCTGCCATTGCGCAGTGCTAATTTTTGTATTATTAGTAGACACGGGGTTTCACCATGTTGGCCAGGCTGATCTTCAACTCCTGACCTCGTGATCCACCTTCCTCAGCCTCCCAAAGTGCTGAGATTACAGGAGTGAGCCACCGCGCCTGGCCCTAATGTCTTTTCTTTGTTTCAGGGCATCCTTATTGGGACTACCCAGAACTATGGGATTCCATAAAGCTTCTTTAGGTATCTTCTTTCTGTTTCAGATAACTCAAAAACCTGAATGGAAATGCTCAACTTCTGGTCAAAAGCATTACACTTCTACATCAACAGATTTCATCACAACCTTTTCACATGCTGGTCAGACACTTTCTTTGGCAGATATTGGCATTTTATTACTTGAATAAAGTAAAAAGAAATTAATTTTTGGTCAGTAAATTAATACATTAATACATTAAGTTTTGGTCAATAGTTTTTGTTACTATTGCAGAAAAAAAATAGAAGAGTAATTCTTAGAGTCAGATCAACAAGTCAGCAAGTTAGTAAACAAATGTACTCTCCAAAATGTCATTATCTAATGAAAACTAGAAATGCAGTTGGATTTTGTCCTAATGGCCTCCTTTTATCTATGGCGGGGTTGATGCACTATGATGAAGTGGGATCACCTGTTGGTGAGAGGTAGCATTTTGGTGCACACAGCAGTAACCCTCTTTATTCAGGAAGATGCACAGAAATGAAAAGAACAAAACACCTGAAAACAAAATAAACAAAAACTCTTCTCTTTGTTGCTCTATGAGCAACATAAGCTTTGACATTAGAACCCAAGTGTGCTAAAACGTTTGACAAAATGAGAATATTCTCTGGTGATGGACACAGACAAATTCTTCCTGTGTTTTTCTGTAGTTTTGAGACTTGACTGTAGAAAAAGCAATAACCAGTTGTCCAAGTATGATTTGGAACTAAACTTGAAGAGGATAAGCACAGGAGCTGCTGTGGAGAGTTTGGGAGCCCAAACAGTCAAGTGGCTTTGCAGCACCGCTCGAGAGGCAATGAGGTTGATCGAAGATGGCAGGTGGTAACTCCGAGCCTTTGAGCAGGGAGCCCTAGAGACTTGTGGGAGGAGGGAAAGGAGGCTGGAGAAAATAAAAGCTCTCAGCTGCACTTCTCTGTAAAGGACATCTTTCATTGCTGATCCTAACACTGTCCTCTCTCTCTCTCTCTCTCTCCCTCTCATCTCAATGCCTCTAATAAACTCACTTATTTAATTGTGTCTTGTGGTTATGTGTATTAGAAGATTTACAGAGACATTAGAAAGAATTCTATCAAGAAGAGTTTTACAAATTATCACATCATGCTGTAGCCTAGCCATTTCATTTTGCGAAACCTGCGTTTCTTCACAGAATACTCTTTAAGATGTGTGATCCTTTTATGATTCAGACATGCAGTGCTTATTGCTAAAGAATGTTAATGTGGGCACTAGAATCCCAGATGCCAATGAGCCTGGATTTAAAACAGTGCAGCTGGAGTCATGTCTCAGGAGGGAGGAGGGTGAAGCCAAGCAGTGGGAGTTAGATCAGGAAGAGAAATGGTGGGTGAAAAAACAGAGGTTCTGAAGAAGGCAAAGGACTATAAGCACTATATATGCTGTGTGTGTGTGTGTGTGTGTGAGGGAGGATAGAAAATCCATGCAGTGAAATAGTAGTAAAGGCACATTGCCTTTGGATGATGATAAGAACCAAAATTAAGGTGGGTGATGAGAAGACAAGAAACAACGGGAACATCTAACGGTCTAGGTTTCATGAAAATGAAAGGTTTCAAGACAGGGTAGTGAAGGAAGTGCCAGGCTTGTGCTGGATTGGGTTCCTTCTCATTATAAATGCTACTGAGAATGCTTGCGATGAATCAGGTGCCAAAATTATAAAGGAGTGTGGAGAAATGTCATGGAAATCATAGATGACAATTAAAAATTGATTGGGGATGCACAGGGGTGCAAGCTGATGGTGCCTACATTTCTTCCTGGCCTCAGTTATGTGGGCTCAGAAGTAAAACTGTCTCAAGTATTGAGGGTTGTAAAGGTATTTGTGTTGCCAGGATTTTATATGCTTCAGTTAATATGTTGAAAAGAAAAGATAGACATTAGAAGGATGGCTGTCAAGAGGAAAATGAAGGTCAAAATAGAAAGTTATAAAAGATGGGTAGAATTAAAACCTATGCTATGAAGTGACAAGAACAGAGAATTAACACTCCTTTAGAAAAGGTGAAAATCCTGTTTATACTACATTAACCATCAAGTAATGGCAGTCAGAGAGTGTATTGGTCTGTTTTCACACTGCTCATAAAGACATATCTGAGACTGGGTAATTTATACAGGAAAAAGGCTGAATGGACTCATAGTGCCAGATGGCTGGGGAGGCCTCACAATCATGGTGGAAGGCAAGGAGGAGCAAGTCACATCTTACATGGAATGGCAGCAGGCAAAGAGAGAGAGCGCTTGTGCAGGGAAACTCCCCCTTATAAAACCATCAAATCTCATGAGACTTATTCACTATCATGAGAAGAGCATGGAAAGACCCACTCCATGATTCAGTTACCTCCCACAGTCCCTCCCACAACACATAGGAATTCAAGATGAGATTTTCAGGGGGACACAGCCAAACCACATCAGAGAGGATGGATTTGGGCTGGGATTGAATGACCTGCTGGAAGACTCCAGAGAAGATCATGGTGTCCAGCTCAAAAGGCTGATTCCAAGGTCAGCCTTGGTAGGGGGAGGGCATTGTTCCTGGCATTCCAAGGCAATCATGACAGCATAAGGTACTCAGACCAGGGCTGAAGGTCACCTCAATGTCTTAGTTCCTTAAAATAGAGTGAATTGTCTAAACCACTGCCATTGTCTTGGAAACCATTCTTTTTGCCTGGTCTAATTTTCTATCTTAGATCTAACCTAGATAACTCTCAATAAAAGAATGGAATGATACAATAAAATCAGAGCAAAGTCTTTACTGATTTTTGCATTGCTTGGTATGTGTTGACCAATCACAGTATGCCTTTAAATCTTTAAGAAGGTTGGTGCAATTACATTTTATTTGATGGGTCTGGGCTCAGTGGCTCATGCCTGTATTTCCAGCACTTTGGGATCCCAAGGTGGGAGTATTACTTCAGGACAGGAGTTCGAGACCAGCCTGGGCAACACAGTGAAACCCCATTTCTACTAAAAATATAAAAATTGGTCCAGATGTGGTGGCTCACGCCTAATCCCAGCACTTTGGGAGGCTGAGGCCGGTGGATCACCTGAGGCCGGGAGTTTGAGACCAGCATGACCAACATGGAAAAACCCGGTCTCTACTAAAAATATGAAATTAGTCGGGCATGGTGGCACATGCCTGTAATCCCAGCTACTTGGGAGGCTGAGGCAGGAGAATCTCTTGAACCAAGGAGGTGGAGGTTGCAGTGAGCCGAGATCCCGCCGTTGCACTCCAGCCTGGGCAACAAGAGCAAAACTCCATCTCAAAAAAAAAAAAAAAAAAAAAAAAAAAAAAATTAGCCAGGCATAATGGTGGATGCCTGTAATCCCAGCTACTTGGGAGGCTGAGACAGAATTGCTTCAGCCTGAGGGGTGGTGGGTGCCATGAGCCGAGATTGCATTACTGCACCCTAGCCTCGGTGACACAGTGAGACTCCATCTGAAAAAAAAATTGTTTTTCTGTGATGGGGGTCTCTTTCCACAAGCTATTCTCTTACTACTAGGCAGGTGTATCTGAACATGATAAACATTTTCAGGTGAATGTCATCACCCTATGTATTAAAAACAGGCTTTAGCTTTTTAAAAAACACCAAATAGTGAAAGAAGCTGAAATGTATTTGTTAAGTACAAGCGTTCAGTTTACAACTACTGCGCTCTAATTGTACAAAGGTGGCATTGTCATCCTTCCATGGGGGAGTCTGGGAGATTTTTACCATTGGGTCTCAGCACTTCAGCACGTTAGTGCTCTCACCTGCGTTGGTAATGACATGCAAGTTGGGAGACCAGATGTGCAGTTCGGAAGAGTGGACGTTGGCCAAGAACTCACCTCTGCTACCATCTTCAGCTTCCAATTCTGCAGCCAAAAAGCAATTACTGAGACTAAGTATCACCATTTTCTTCTGTGTGTAACAAAGAATATCACACACCACCTGCATGTGGGCGGAAGATAATTGTCACAGGTGGTGCAGGAGGCTTCCCCATGGCGGGCGCTGAGTTCTTTATGTGCCGCCAAGCTAGAGAGAAGCCTGACTGCTTCCATTTCTGACATCTCTCTTGCTTCTCTGGAAAAAGTGTCATCTGTATGCATTGTTGGGAGCTGAGCATCAACATCCACAGGTAGATGGGGCAGATACTTTCTGGCTTGAATTCACCTGACTTGTGTGCTCACGGTGTCCATATTGCAGGTATGGTGTTTATAGCACCGCTTCTTGAAATTGTTTTTTACAGAGAATAACATGGGGTAGCTAACACGTGCATTCCACAGGCTCCATCCAAGATTCCTTGACCGAAAACCTCCAGGAGACCAGCCTGGGGGGTGCTGCATATTTTACAAGCACCCTTATTATTGTACCCAGGGAAATTTGAAAAAAAAAAAAGTGCAAATGGCAAATTAATATCTCTAGCTAGGTACTGAAAGAACATCCCCGTCTTTGCCTCTAGGGGTGATGAGTAAAATCCTGTATCCCCGAGGTTTATGAATCCCCTGACATATTCATACTTTTTTATAATACCCCCTAAGACACATACCTACCTCTTAGGTTTTTTGTTTGTTTTGTTTTAATCAGTAGAGCAGAAATATCATGGGTAATTGAAATCCAAAAGGAACATGAAAAGTAAACCAAATAAAAAGAAAACAGCCACCTCTCTGTAATCCAAATTCCCGGGTCATTGCCGCCGTTTGAAGGCTCCATAAGACCCCAGAGCTGTGTGGTATCATTGCTCTTACATTCTATTCTTTTAAAGGCTCATAAGACCTACAAACAGCCTGAGAAGCATGGAGAGAAGGAGCCAGAGGCATGCAGAGAAGGGTTTTGGAATGGGAAGCACTCACGGCATCCAAAGGCCTTACCTGCCTCAGTAATTGTGACTCTCCCTTCTATCTCCCAGGGCATAGTGAAGATGGAATCAGATCATGCATGTGGAGACTGCTTTGAAAACTGCAATTATAGGGAAAGGTTGTCTTTAGTTTTCATCCAAGTTTATGATTTTAAAAAAAAATCTAATAATCCAAGTATGCTCTGAATATCACTGTTTAAGAAGAAGCATCTCAAAATGTGTCAGTTTGGGCTATTTTTGGTTTCCACTAACCCATGGGACTCTGGGGATGGTGATGGGTGGTAGACAATGAGAAACCTGGGCAAAGTCAACGTGGGGGGACCTGCCTGATGCTTTGCTCTTGTGAATGGACAATCTTCACCATACAGAGGAGGATGAGAAGTGACTACAGCCTTGGATGGCTCGTGGCTATACTGAAAGAGAAAGATGAACTAAACGCCTTTCCAAATTAGGGTCACCTCCTCCAAATACGCTAGACTTAAGAAACTGTTAGTGATGGTTTCTTCAGCTTTTCTCTCGAATAGTAGTGAGAATCTCTTTTCAACCAAGCTCTGCAGTCTTTTGGGAGGAAAAATCAATTGTGGGTCACACACAAGGAAAAGTTCCCTGAATATAACGAGTGTGTTTACTCAGAAAAATACTCCCATTCCATATTCTGGCAGTTAGGGTTCACTAGTAGAAAGAGATGAAAGGAAATATAAGAAAAAGGAAAATGTTTTAAAATTTAGAGAGAAGGTGAAGGGAAAATGAGGGTAAAGAGGAAATAAGGTTTAGTGATTGGAAAAGAAATACGTTCATTGAAAGAGAAGTACTGGGGATGGGTGGAAAGAAGGATCACAGACTCAAGACCGTACATTTCTGTTTGCCTGGGCTGCAGGCCTTAGATTAATTATCACCTGTTGTCACTCTCCTGTAAACTTCAGATGAGCTCTTTTGCAGTTTGGATCACTTTTTCTACAATAGAATAGTTTTCTCACTTCTAAAGTTCAAGCGTACACTGAAAGAAAAGTTTATTTTCCCCCATAAAATTCTTAAGCCTTTGCAAATGTTTCAGCAAGGAGTTAGTTTTAGAATTTGACTGTGGAAGCCCAGCTTTACCCATCTATTTACTATCTAAGAATGAATTTTATTTGATTCAAACTATTTATTTGTTTCTTGTTTTCTTTTATCCCATGTTTTTATTTCATTTTGCAATGAAGTTCACTTTTTGTATTATTGGAAGTGCCACAGCCTACAGAACAACAGCTCTTAATAAAACACATCTTTGAGACTAAATATTAATATTTGCAACTACTGATCAGTTTTCCCCCAAGTCAGACTGCTTGTCCTAAAGGCAGGGAAATCCCCTGCTCTTTTTTTTTTTTTTTGAACATATCAAGGTGGCTACCATTGAGTGAAAGATAGATTGAAGATAAATGATCAGGGTCAGTTAGGTGAATTTTGTCTTGATTCAGGAATAGGGTTCCAGTGAAAGTTGTTTGGTGAGAAGTTTTATTATGATAGAATTCATTGGGATAGAAGCCTGGCTAAAAATTTGAAAGGGCCAACTTGTTCAGCTGATAATTTACAAACTAGGGATTCCAGGTGCAGAATAATGTGGTGGCCTCACACTAAGACGTAGAGAAGAAGAGAACCTAGAGTCAATGAAGCTCATAAAATGCTACTCCAACAGAGGAGGTGACATAAGTAAGTAATTCCATGGGAGAGGGAGGTCAGCAGTGGGGATAATGAAGAAAGGAATATTATAAATACATTTTGATGGAAAAATGTAAAAGGATAAGTCATTAATTCCCTATAGCAGGTGTAGAAAAAAGAGCGTGGTGTATTGGGAGAATGATGGCAAAGGCATCACATCCCGTGGGTGAGGAGCTATGCAACGTGTGGATGCTGTAGCTTAGTTTTGTCTTTGGTGTTGGCTGCCTTTTCTAAGCTTTTCTGCCCTGACCAGTCCTGAACTACTCTCCAGAGATACTTGAGAATTTTCTTGTCTTTCATTGCATCTCACGGAAAGAGATGCAGTAATACCCGTTCAATATTTCCAAAAAGAGAACCAACCCATCACAGAATCATGTAGTTCTTTCTACTGTCGAGACAACAAAGACATGAATATAGGTGCTGAGCAGAGACTGAGGATTCAGTAAGGAAGACAGCCCAGGTCAAAGGACTTTCTCAGCTTCCTCTAGGCTACATCAGGACGCCATTGGGTCTTGCACAGTGATATGGCTTGGCTCTCTGTCCCCACCCAAATCACATGTTGTATTGTAATCCCCTGTGTTGGAGGAGGGGCCTGGTGGTAGGTGATTGAATCACAGGGCGAACTCCTCCCTTGCTGTTCCCGTGATAGAATTCTCACAAGATCTGGTTGTTCGAAACTATGTAGCGCCTCCTGCTTCAATCTGTCTCTTTCCTGCCATGTGAAGATGTTCCTGCTTCCCCTTTACCTTCTGCCATGATTGTAAGTTTCCTGAGGCCTCCCAAAAATCAGAAGCCCGTACAGCCCACAGAACCAGAAGCACATTTATACCTCTTTTCTTTATAAATTACCCAGTCTCAGGTAGTTCTTTATACCAGTGGGAGAACGGACTAACTCACTGGGATACAGAAATGTCCTCCTGGCTGGTTCTTGTGCCTCCAATCTCATGACCAACCTCCCCTTTCTCTCTCTCTTTCTCTTTCTCTCTCTCTCTCTCTCTCTCTCTGTCTATCTCTCTCTCTCATACTTGAACCACTTTGTTCTCAGTGCCACTAGAAATAACACAAGTGCAATCTTCTTTCTCTTATTAGGAATTCTAAATTACTTGGCATCGGTCTTACACCTTTACAAGGTCCTGCACAATCTCACTCCTTCTTGGCTTCCAGTTTCTCGATGGGCTCTGCTCTCTCCACCCCGGAGGCCTTACATACGGCTATCATATTCCTGAATGCCCACGCCTCACCTGACTCATTCTGGGTGACACTTTCCATCTCAACGAGGCATCATTTGCAAGTGATGTGCTGCCATCATGCAGGACCGAGGCCCTGTGTGACCCCAATAAGAGCAGTTGTTATATCACATTGCAGAGCACTGCTTATGCCTCCATCATCTGCAATAAACTGTAAGTTCCCCGAGGACAGGTAGGTGTTCACTGTGTTCACTTTAGTGAGCATAATACTTAGCATAGTATACAGAAGGCACAGAATAAATACTATTCCTACATCAAGGCAGAATCTGAGTGGCATTGTTGTGGGTGGACACCATTTATTCCTTGTTTTTGCTCAGGCATTAAGGCGTGATAGAAGGACTACATTAGCAGCCAAAAGAGCTCACTTCCCTTTGTGCCCTGATTTTAAATGGTTGTGTCACATTCAGAAAGTTTCTTCAATGTTCTTAGTTTCAGCATCTATATTTGTAAAATAATGCTACTGTTATCCATTATTCTAATGTTATAGATTTGGTGCAAATTAAAAATTTGGGATGTTGAAAGTACTTTAAGAATTGTAAACCAGTATAGGAATTTTGATGAAATATTAGATCAGATCAAAATGAAAATGTCCCAGAAAAACTCCAATACAAAACGATCGAATTGCCCATGTTTGTTACTTCTGCGCGATCTGTCTCACTAGCTCTCCAGAAAATTACGGGCTGGCTGCAAGCCAGAGAAAAAACGCATTCCTTTAATAAAAGAGGCTGATGAAAATGAATACTGTGATGTTTATTACGTTGCAAAGGAAAATCTTGATTAGGTAGGTTAACCCCAGGTTTGCCCAGAAATTAAAACCTAATAAATGTTTCATTGTCTCCTGATTGCAGAACTAAATGGATATATGTTGTAGTGTGCGGCTGCCACACCATCCTGCACATGGAATTTGCGGCTTATAAATTATCAGCTAAATCACTTGGCCCTTTCAAATTTTTAGCCACAGGCTGTTGCTGTGTCATGTTTACCCACCCCGTCTCTCTCCTCTTCTAGCTTCCCTAGAGAAGGAATGCTTTCATAGCCAGAGAGCAGAAGGCAATGCCTGGCTTTAAAGCTTCAAAGGTCAGGCTGACTCTCTTGTTAGGGACATCAGTAGCTGGTGACTATAAGTTGAAGCCAATGATCATTTATTATTCTGAAAATCCTAGGGCCCTTCAGAATTATGTGAAGTCTACTCTGCTTGTGCTCTCTAAAGAAATCAGCAAAGCTTGGATGACAGCACATCTGTTTATAGCAAGGTTTACTGAATACTCTAAGCCCACTATTGAGGCCTACTGCTCAGAAAAAAAAAAAAAAAAAAAAAAGGATTTCTTTCAAAATAGGACTACTCATTGACAATGCAAAGGCTGGCCTCTTGCACCAAATGGCTAGCCAGGTTGTGAATGCAGAAGAGACCTGGAAGAAAATCAACAGCGCCGCTCCAGTGAACACATGAATGACAAGAAACTGAAAGAACTGTATTGCTGACATGGAGAAAATTTGAGTAGTGTGGATGGAAGATCAAACCAGCCACAGCATTCCCTTAAGCCAAAGCCCAATCCAGAGTAAGAATCTAATTTATTCAATTCTAAAAAGGCAGAGAGAGGTAAGGAAGATGCAGAAGGAAAGTTTAAAGCTAACGGTGCTTGGTACATGAGGTTTAAGGAAAGGATCCATCTTCGTAATGTGAAAGTGCGAGGTGAAGCAGCAAGCGCTGATGTAGAAGCTGCAGCAAGTTATCCAGAAGATCTAGCTAAGATCACTGATGAAGGTGGCTACACTAAACAACAGATTTTCAATATAAATGAAACAGCCTTATATTGGAACATGATGCTGTCCAGGATTTTCATAGCTAGGGAGCAGAAGGCAATGCCTGGGTTTAAAACTTCAAAGGACAGGCTGACTCTCTCGTTAGGGACTCCAGTAGTTGGTGACTATAAGTTGAAGCCAATGTTTATTTATTATTCTGAAAATCCTAGGGCTCTTCAGAATTATGTGAAACCTACTCTGCCTGTGCTCTCTAAAGGAATCAGTGAAGCTTCGATGACAGCACATACATCTGTTTACAGCATGGTTTACTGAATATTCTAAGCCACTATTGGAGCCTACTGCTCAGAAAAAAGGATTCCTTTCAAAATAGTACTACTCATTGACAATGCACTTGAACACTCAAGAGCTCTGAAGGAAACATACAAGATTAATGTTGTCAGCCTAGGCAACATGACAAAACACCGTCTCTACAAAAATACAATAAAAATACCAAAAATTAGCCAGACATGGTGGCATGCCTATAGTTCCAGCTACCTGGGAGGCTAAGATGGGAGGATCGCTTGAGCCTGGGAGGTGGAGGTTGCAGTGAGCTGAGATTGCACCATTGCACTCCAGCCGGGGTGACAGAGCGAGACTCTATCTCAAGAAAACAAACAAAAAAAATTAAAATTCTTTCCATGTCTGCTAACACAACATTCATTTTGCAGCCCATGGATCAAGAAGTAATTTCAACTTTCAAGTCTTGTTATTTCAGAAATACATTTTATAAAGCTATAGCTGCCATAGATAGTGATTCCTCCGATGGATGTGTGCAAAGTAAACTGAATACCTTCTGGAAAAGATTCACCATTCTTCATGCCATTAAGAACATTGTAATTCATGGAAGTCAGTCAAACTATCAACATTAACAGAAGTTTGAAAGAAGTTGATTTCCACCTTCTTGGATGACTTTGAGGGGTTTAAGACTTGAGTGCAGGAAGTAGCGGCAGATGTGATGGAAATAAGAGACTAGCCATAGAAATGGACCCTGAAGATGTGACTGAATTGCTGCAACCTCATGATAGAACTTGACTGTATGAGGACTTGCTCCTTATGGATGAGCAAAGAAAGTGGTCTCCTGAGATGGAATCTGCTCCTGGTGAATATATTGTGAACATTGTTGAAGTTACAGCAAACTATTTAGGTGATTATACAAACTTAGTTGATAAAGCAGCAGCAGGATTTGAATCCGATTTTGAAAGAAGTTTGACGGTGGGGATAATGCTATCAAACAGCATAGCATGCTACAGAGAAATCTTTTATGAAAGAGTCAATTGATGCAGCAAAATTCACGGTTGTTTTATGTGAAGAAATTGCTACAGCCACCTTAGCCTTCTGTAACCACTGTGATCAATCAGCAGCCATCAACATTGAGGCAAGACCCTCTACCAGCAAAAAGATTATAACTTGCTGAAGGCTCAGATGGGAGGATCCCTTGACCCCGGAGATGGAGGTTAGCATTTTTTAGCAATAAATTATTTTTTAATTAAGGTATGCACGTTAGCTTTTTCAGACATCATGCTATTTGCATACTTAATAGACTATAGTGTGATGTAAACATAACATTTTATGTACTCAGAAACCAAAAAAATGTGTGTGACTCTATGGCAATATTAACTTTATTGCAGTGAGCTGGAACTGCACCTGCAGTATCTCTCAGGTATGCCCATAGTTTGATTTACCAATCTTTTGAGGGTTAATCCTACAGAAGGGGTAAATAAAGTTATTACTGTGGCTTTCAGGTGAGTTTAATTGTCTTCAATATTGCAGCCTTTGTTCGGCCCTCCTGGAAAGGTAAGCAGTCATCTTAGGGAACAAATTCAGGAGAGGCACTGAGTGTCACTGTCAGCCTCTGAAAAATAGATGATCTGGATTAATGACATAACGGTCTAGTATCATTTCACCATTTCATTGTACAAAAGGGTAATATCTATATTGGCCAAGCTGTATTTTATAGCTTTTCTAAAACTATTTTTTGGGTGTTGATATATATCCAAATTTGTTTTTATTCAAAACCAATTTTTTAATTTTTAAAAACCTTAATAATGAACCACGAAAAGACAAAACATCTGTGTTCTGTTTAGCACTTCCTCCTCATCAGCCAAGCACCAAGACTTGCTCTTCCCTCCTCTGTCCTGTTCTCTCCTGGTCCCTTCCTGTGTCTGCATTTCCACTGTAGATACAAGCTCATGGGTGAAATTCGGGAGTGTTTCCTCCGTGTTTCCTTCAAGGAGTCTCAATAACTAGTACACGTTAAATGTATATCAACAACTGAAGTTTGTTTGGTAGATGATCATCCAGAGAAGGCGTCCATTAGGATCAGAATAGAGTAAGGAGTCCTCAGAGAGGCGACAGGCTCCAAACTGGTTTTACAGGTGACTGGGATTTGGAAATAACTGCTTCTGCTTGTTACAGGCTTACTATGGACCACATGTATTTTATAAAATACATCATTTAATTTAGTCCTTATAATAACCTCTTCCATAGGTTTTCACTCTCATTTTTCAGGTTCTTGTTTTGCTCAGAACAAATCCTAGTGTTCTTTATCACCGTAAGATGGCTATAGTTAACAATAATATATTAGTTAGTTTCAAATAGCTAGAAGGAGGATATTGAACATTCCCAATACAAAGATAAATATTTGCGATGGTGGGTATGCTAATTAGCCCGATCTGATCACTGTTCATTAGATACATCAAAACATCACTATGTAACCCATGAATATGTACAATTATTATTTGTCCATTAAACAAAACAAAACAAAAAAGTAAACCAAAACCTGAAGTCATTTAGTAACTTATTCAAGGTTACACAGCCCACAGCTGACAGGGCTGGGATGTAAATCCAGCTCCGCAACCACCCTTTACCACTGTCATTCCCCTCTCCCTGGAGAGACAGAGTTTTCCTCAAATTTAAAAATAGGATACAGTGACTCCTATTCTCCTTGTGCCTGGGTTTGTATTGAAAATAAAGTGGAACAGTTTTCCTGAGAGTACTTTGAACAGCACACGCGCTGTGGATATATGTAGTACCATGTTATAGTATTTAGAAAAGGAAAAATTGTTTTGAGTACCAGTTCTAACACTAAGCATTTGTATGACTTTAAATCAATTTCCTCTAGGTTTCAGTTTCCTCATCTATAAAATAAGTAATGGGTTACATGTGAACAATTACTGCATGACATGCGAGTATGTGTTACTTATTCACACCTTAATAACTGCAGAGTCTGGAGCTTTGTTGGGTGATAGCAGGGAAAAAGACACCCGGCGGGTGGTCACTGTCTGTACTCATGTCAAGAGACATGAGATGAGTCACCACATGCAAAGACACCGGAGGAAAGGGTAGAAGTCAGGACGTCGCATAGATATTAAAGTCCGTGCTGTCTACGGGAAATTTCATGATGCTTATCACAGAAATCTCTACCAGGATAAAATGATAGCTGATGCCAGAGAGAAGGAGAGACAGCCTCCTCCTACCTGCAAGCAAGAGTGTGAGAGCTTGTCATCAAGGAGCTTTGCAATCATATTTGCAGGTGGAGTTGCAGGTACCTGGGTGTCCTCATTCTCACTTTCATCATCCATAAAGCTAAATTTTGAAACTCATCTTTAGAGGCAATTTTAAGTATAAAAATTTCCTTTTTATTGCTCTCTAATTTTATTATGTGTATTAGAGAAATGCTTTTTCTCTACTCCCTTTTCAGAGAACACATTTTATAAAAAGTTATTTTGATACGGCAGAAGGCTACGACAAAAGCTCCAAATCTTGCACTACAAAGATTCCAGAAACACAATTATTATTAATGTCTTAGTCCATTGATTCTAGACAGAAAAGCTCAATAGGAGCAGACAAACACATTTGCCTCTTCTGAGAATACAGACAGAAATATTTGGCGTGGGGAATTTTGAAAGCAAAACAATGAGGGCAAAGGAGCTTAGGGAAGTCAATGTGTACTTGCAAATCCAAGGCCGTTTCCGATGCTTTGAGTGCATCTTGGCAGATGCTTCCTATGGTAGGTTAATTTGCAAAAACGTGAAATAACAGAAACCTACCCATTAAATCCTCCACATTAAGTCCCATTTGGAAATGGGCATCAGAGAAAGCTATATAGCTGCTGTGAAGATCAGGGGATAATGTGTTTTGTTCTGCAGAGTTATTTTATTGAAGCATAATTTGGTGCTCTGGGTTCTCACTGGTGGACAGCTATCCGTTAAGATCACCTCCCTAAGGTTACAATTGCCCATTCCAATGTTTGTTAATAAGAGACTAGGACTTTGATTTGGCTCACGGACAGTAAGTCAGGTCCATTTGTTGCAATGCATTATTTAAGAGCTGTTTGCAGCATATTACGGTCGTAATGGCTGCTATTATCAGGTGGGATATTACAATGAGGAGTCCACTAACGTAATGTGGTGAACTCCCAGAGAGACAGACTCTACTTTTTGGGAACCACAGAGTCTTCACTGGTAGCTGCCAAATAGCGTTTTTGGCAAATTACGGTCACAGAACACTCTCAGAAATACTCTTTGGTGGACAGTAAGAAATGCAAATGGTAATTACCTCATCGAATAATGATTGCTCTGGACAGACCCTGAATTGTGATGTATTGTAAAGACGAAACCATCAGCCTTATTTATGAGGCACGGTTTCAGTCACTCACCAACTATTGAGATGATTTTGGGCTGGGTGTGCAGATAGATTTTTTAATTGCATGTTACTGTTGTAGGTGGCTGAGCATTGCCTTTCCTGGACCCAAGATCAGGTAATCCTGTTTTAAATGCTACTATATTCCTTCTAGAAAGAATGCTTCCTTATCACCATGGCTATCAGTAGGTCCGGGGCTGGAGGGCTGGGCTCGTGCAGCAGCTGGGCCAGGGTGAAGTCTTCTTCCAAACAGATCTCCCTGCAAGGAACTTAGAAATTCCTCTGCCCAGGTCATCAGACCTGTCTTCCTGGCAACCCCTGTTAGATTTGACCTAGATGGGAACGGATTCTGAGTCTACGCTCAGTCTGTTCAAATTTGAAGCTTCCTGCTCTGCCAACATCTGACCTTCACCTTTCTTTCCTGTCTCTTAATGGCCCCAAGTAGGAATTGCTGTTCTCCCCTGATAGGATGGGAATCTGGGCTCAGCCTGCCCCAGATTTTTCCCTTGCATTCTGCTTCTCTCAACTGCCTGTCACGAATTTGCTCTGTCTCCTAGTCTAGATATGTAAGCTGCAGGTCAGCAAAATAAGAAACACGTACACACCTCTGTGAGTTATTCACAGCCACCCAATCTGAGCCTTCTCAGCACAATATGGCACAGTGGTCCCCAAGCCATGGGGTCATCTACGGCAAGAAAGAAAACAACCCTATTTTGTAGGTTCTTTAAATCATCGTAGATGCTGAATAACATTACATCAAGGAGACTTATCTGGGGGGAAATCTGTTGTTATTATTTGTAAGACAAAAAGAGGAACAGTGTTTTGTTTTTTTCCAACTTTGGATTAGCCCTTATGTCCTCTGAAACTAGAGGCCTCTAAGAAGTACTCTGGATTTAATTTTTTCTTCAAGTATTCACTTTTACTTGATTGGCCCGTCAATGAACCATTGATTAGGGTCTATTTGTCCGCAGGTCCATTTAATTCTGAGGACCGTGCAATAACAAAGAAAGAAACGCCTCCACACACAGCCATATGGCCCTGGGCAGATGTACTCTAAGTTGTTGAGTGCCTTCTTGTAACCAACAATGATTTTTTTTTTCCTTTTTGAGTATAATACTTACCAAATGCCCTGTTGTGACAGTAAACACTGAATAAAGCTTTTTTCATGTGGTGAACCTGGCTGCAGGGGAACATCCTTGTTTTAGGGAATTTTGTACGGAGTTGGGTTTTCCCTGAAAATAAGTCATGATGTTTTTGTTATACTGTGAGGTAAGGCACACCTGTTAGAGCAAGCTATATATGCTCTAAGCCTCTTTGTTGCTTTTGAGAAATATTTTTGTTTTTCCTCCTAAAATGAAAATCAGCCCAGAAAAGGAAGTCAAGGAGAAACAGGGCTTATTGGAAGAGAAAAGCATTTAATAATAGGAAAGAAAAAATCCTTTATAGGTCTTAGGAGATGCTTCCTTTATAGAAAGAAAAATCTGCTTTTCTGTTTCAAAAAGTTAAACTGTATGGGGTCTTCATTCTACATTTTGTAGAATTATCAAAAGAAAGCCCATCTGTAGTGAGAAATCGGAACGTAACCCCTTGTAAGGAATTTTCTTTCTTTGTATGGACTACCAAGATGGAAACTTCCAAAGTGAGTTCCTCTGCTCCTGCCGAGGTTGGAATTGACATTTCTTCTCACAATTACTGAGCTGCAGGTGAGATATCAGCCTCTCACTCCATAGGCCGAGAGCGGCAGCATGGTGTGCGCTCAGACTGGCTTGGCATGGATTTCCTTTCAGGAAATTAAAATCTATCTCCCTTAACAGGGCAACAAAGAGGATGCGGTCACATTTTGCTGCTTCTTAACAGGGCACCACTGACGTCCTCCACTCTCCAAAGGATTCTCTTTTAAAGTTTTTCAGATTTGAGAGATTCTCTTTAACGTGTGTCTGAATTTCAAATTTCTAGGGAGGAAATATCTCATAAAAATGAAAAAGCAACATGAGAGAATAGGTAAAGTGCCAGTGTCTAAAAGTGTAATTTGATATCTGAAAAAAAATCTCAAATTTTGATGATAAAAGCGGTTAGTCATCTAAGTGAAAAAAAAATGACAGGCGGGTGATTTAATTCATACACATTCATCGTTCACTTTTTCCCCTCTTATAAGACATCTGTTGTACACAAGTCACGGTGTAGATTTATGGTAGATATAAAAATGAATAAAGGAAACCTCCAGTGTTTTGCCAAATGAGGTAACTGCTGGTGACATAGAAAAAATGATCTGATATTTGAATATAGTATGGGTGCTTTCTTTTGGTGGAAAGAGTAAAACTATATTTCATTAGATGCTGGAAACTGACATCTTTCATCAAAACTACTAGGAAAATTAGAAGAGACATAATATCAGTGTTCAGGTGAAAAAATAAAAATAATGATAATAACCAATATTTATTATATAAATTCTCTCTGTATATATGTATATGTGTAAAATATTCTACTAAGTGTTTTAGATAACTGTGTCATTCAAGGGCCACACAATTCCTATGAGGTTTCACTACCAAAGAAGGGATTCCTGTTTCTAGAGGCTTAGAATCACATCATGGGGCAGGAAAGAAAAATTGGCTATATATATTCTTGGACTAGATGGTGATGACAAGTGCCAAGATAGTTATTGGGATAAGAACTTGGAAGAAGTCCTACCACCCTTTCACAGAGATTATTTCAGTTCAAATTTTCTCAGAGATCATTGAAAATACATGCTTAGAAAGTCTGAAATGAGGATGCAGGGTATTGATCATCAAATATATTCTCCGGCTGAAGACACACCGGTTCTTGGTTCACTGAATAATAGAAGAGAGAGGAAAGATGAGGAGACAATGCTGAGGCAGGCAACCCTGGCTCCCGGAACCACACGGCTCACTCAAAGTCAAGGGCACAGCACTGATGCTGGGGGTGGCGATTCAGAATTGGGTTGGGGAACCTGCAAGATTTCATAGCAGGGATTATTTCACTGTGTGAACAGGAGAGAGAAAAAAATCTCAAGGAATTTTTGACAGGGTAGAAGGGAAGGTGAAAGCTGGGCAAAAGAAGTATCTGGGAGGATAAAATATAATTTTCTAAATGTTGTAATAAGTAAGAGGCTGCTGTGTGATTATTTCAGGGAACTTGAGCCTTCAGGGTTATTAGACACAACAAAAAGATAAAATGCAGGAATAATCTATGAATCTGTGAAGTTATCAGAACATTGCCAACCGGCCCGTTGGCAATATACAGTATAATGAGTGTTTATCCTGAGAAGTGAGGACTCCATGTTCTTGTTTTCTTCTTAACCTCCTGCCTGCTTCTTCCCTTCCATGAAAACCATCCCAGTGTTTCAGTAAAAAGACTGTGAAGACTTCCGAAGTCAAAGTGACTATAGAAGTAATAAAAATATGAAAGAAATATATGGGTGCAAGTTTTAAAGTCTAAAAAAAATACCTTTCGCTGGAAAAACCCTAAGCTGAAATGCTTACACTATGAAGCATAGTTACAAAGTCAGTGGGATCAGGGTGCTATTGCTATAAGAATTTTAAAATTGCTGGGCGTGGTGTCTCACGCCTGTAATCCCAGCACTTTGGGAGGCCGAGGTGGGCGGATCACCTGAGTTTCAGGAGTTGGAGACCAGCCTGGCCAACAAAGTGAAACCCTTTCTCTACTAAAAACAATATAAAAATCAGCCAGGCGTGGTGGGGGGCACCTGCAATCCCAGCTACTCAGGAGTCTGAGGCAGGAGAATCACTTGAACCCAGGATGAAGAGACTGCAGTGAGCTGAGATCGTGCCACTGCATTCCAGCCTGGGGCACAGGGCAAGACTCTGTCTCAGAAAAATAAAAATAAAAATAAATCTAAAATGCTCAACTCTATATAATTAGTATTTTGACTGGTATAATTAATTTTATTTTAAATTTATCTCCTTACATAGCTTTTATTTGCTATAGTCTACTTATTTTTCATTTGTTATCAATGTTTTTTATAATAAAATGCTTTTGCTTTAATAGTGTAAATGAAACAATAGGATTGTAATAGAGGACATAGTGTAATAAATGCAACAAGTGAACTGGAGCAGATTTTACAGGGACGCCAAAAAGGAGGCAGCTTCCTTCATAGGAGAGTGTAAAAGAAAAAGAGGAAATGTTCTTGATAGGATAAATAGGTTATTTCAACCTGTTAGGAGGTCGAAGGTAGAATGGCTTCTTGAAATGAGGATAAAAGTTAAACAACGAATAGCATAGAATGAAATATGCAGAGCATATTAGGAGAATAACATGCTCCTAATTTTTAATTGCTTTATAACAGCATTTTGCTAAACAATATTTTTTATCTGTTGACAGTTTTCTTTTCTCTTGAACTTTAAAATTGTTTATTTAATGATTATGGGTATATGTATGCATGTGAGCATGTATGTGTGCATTTTTCTCTTTTTTAGTATTTTCCCGGACCGGGGTAGCTTCTGGCCTTCAGAGCCCAAATGCCCTCCCATTTTCGACTGAAGAAAGAAAAGGACGAATCCCTTCAAACACGATCTCTTTCATGAGCTCTTTGATAGACTCTTTTTCTCCTCCTCTGCGCCAAAATGAATCCAACAGAATTTCCGTGGCTCCCTCTCCTTACCCTGACCCCATGTTAATTGTTGCAACAAACGTTGCAACTCCAGTGTGAGCCAGGTGAGCTTCTGAGGCTTTCTAAGAATTGCCACTGCTGAATTATCTTCCTGCACAACTTCCCTTCACTTAGTAGGGTACAGCTTATGCCTAATTGCAGAGACATTTGACCTTACATATATCTTTGAATTATGTCTATCTCTTATTTTTGCTATAAATGGAGTTTGTGTTTTCTTCCTTTTCTCCTGTTATTGTTTGTATAATACACAGGAGGAATATAGTCATGACAATAGTATTTGTAATAGTATCTAATATTCTATGGTGCCTAATATGTCACACAAACCATTCTACATCATACCGTATGCCATTTAATCTTCATAACACCCTATGAAGTAAGTGTAATAGTAAGATAAGCATACAGAGGTATGCAGAAAGTTAAGCAACTTGGCCATTTGCAATGAACAGATAAATGGTGCCATAGGTTATGAAACTAGTTAGTCTGGCTCAAGTCTCTATGCTTTAAACTGCCATGCTGTATATAGCCATGTTTATGGTGGAAGTCTGTTTTGAATATTTGGAGCACATAAGTGGCACCAGGGTGGAGGGAAGGTTAAAGAGGGATAATGCAGTCAACAACAAGGTCAGGGAGGCTGTGATTCTCAAACTTCTGTGAGCACACGGGCCACCAGTGGATGCTGCTGAATGCAGGTTCTGATTCTGCAGGTCCAGGGAGGGGCCTGGGACTCTGCATTTCTCAGGGCTCTTCAGGTAGTGCTGATATACTCTGAAGAGTCAGGAAGTATGATGTTGGTCAGAGGATTGCAGGCAGAGATTAGGAGTGCCTGAGCTAAGGTATTACTTGAGGCAATGAAAGAAAAGAGACAAAAGTGAGAACGCATAGCAGTAGATCACGGAAACTGTAGACAGATTGAATGTGGGTGGTGAGGAATGATGGAAAAGAGTTGACACGGAGTTTTCTAGCCTGGTAAATGCCTTCAACCTCCAATAAATAAATAATAATAAGCTTCGGCGGATGATAACTCGGCGGTGTGGGAGATGTTGAGCCGGAGTTTTCAATCTAGAGTAAGAGCCTCTGTATCCCCACCTGAAACATGGCAGTGGTATGACCATGCGGAAGAGTAGAGAATGGGTATTGGTGAAGACCGAGAGTGGAGCTGGGAGACACGTCTGCGTTTAATGTACGGTAACAGAATATTCAGAGGGATGGGAAGAAATGAGGAGAGGATTATTTTGTATGCCAAGGGAACTGGCATAGAGGAAGTAATTAAGGTGCCTCCTGATGTTCTCTTTCACAATTTGGATTGTAGAAGACATGGATGTCATCGGGGGTCCCCAGTGTCTGAGGAAAGGAGAGGGGAAGGATGACCCGTCACGGTTCAGAAGACAGAGACAAGCCTGCAAGTGTGCAAAGAGGGAAAAGACTGCAGGAAATTCCACTTGAAATGGGCCATAAAAGTGCATCTTTTGTAATATTTCAATGTCTCTCTCAATATTTCCTCTAATCACAACTTTCCAGTTTCAAGAACAAACCTCACTCCTTACTGACCAGTCTCAATATTTGTTTGTTTTCTATAAATTAAAATCCAGTGTGTTGTCTTTATCTGCAATCCCTTCATTAGTTCTTGTCTCTAAAATCAACATACTATCATAGTTATCAAGACCATGGGGTCAACCAAGAAACTGATAGTAGCATGTGTCGTCTAAAGATGAGTGCTGATAACTGGAAGGTCAGGTTTGAAAAACCCTTGTAATCTGTCTGAGAATTGATTTGTCTGTAGCAAGCTCCCATAACTTTTGAAGTGGAAACATTAAAACTCTAAAACAAGATCAGTCTAAACCAGGGATTGACACTGTTTCAGAATTAGGATGCCAAGATGCTGAGCACATTCTTTTCCTATCCTGCTGGCCGGGGAGCTAACACCACAAACAGTTTCCCCTTTTCCACAATAAGCTTTCACCATTCATCAGGATGCCGTTGACTGGAACATGTTTCTCCCATAAATGCACATGATTGTGCTTTACTTCTACGTGGAGGCATCATTAATGCCCTAAGGGAATATGAACTTTAGTGGAGGATAGGGCACTGGAGTAGGTAAATTTACTTTAGTGGGTAACTTTTGTTAAGTGGAAGGCAACAGAGTCACAAGGCATCTGGAAGTTGGGATTTGAAAAGGCGCACGGACAAAGATGACAAATTCCAGGCTTCCCTTTGCCAAATGTCTTTTTGGGCCACACTTTCTGGTATCTACTTTAAATATAAGTATGAGATCTTTGTGCCTGCTCTGTGTTTCCACTGAGGACTAAATATGACAGAAGTATATTTTAATGCCATTGTTACCTATGGCCTCTGCATTTCCTTCCTCCCTCCTTCCCTCCCTTTCTTTCTCCCTCCCTCCTTTTCTTCTTTTTTTTTTTATTTCTTTTGCCTAAGAGAATGGAATCAAATGCTGCTAGGCGAATCACTGCGTTTAATTATCTTGTTCTTGCTCTTTCTGCTTTGCTCTTAATATCTAATCGTATCCTCCTGTTTATTCTCTTCCTCTTTCCTAAGAACAGCACATGAATAAACTTTTAAGAGTGCATTAAGAGTGCCATCAGTCTATTTTGTGTAAACCAAAAATACACAGAGACATTCCAACGGTTATGAAAAATATAGCTGAATTGCAAGTATTCCTATGATTAAGTACATTTTCTTTTGTTTTGGTTAGACTTACCAAATTGCTCCTATTAATATACTGTGCTCATGCATTATGTAACAGCTGAGAGCAAAGCATACACTTCGAGAGCCCTACATTTTAACAAGCTGCATCACTTCCATACAACGTGGGGAGGGTCTTGGACCAAATCCCCACATACTACAATGAAAGGCACCTGTGATACCATGGTGGTGTAAGTAGCCTAGTCTCCTCCTGCAGCTCATAGCAAAATATTTCAGGAAAGTTAATTAAATTTTTCAATATATCTTGAAAGAAGAACAGAGTATTGTGATTTAAAAAATAAATCTGTAAATGGCAGTAATAAAAAGTTTGGAAGACCAAACTTAAGAAAACAAGAAAGGGAAAAATACATTAAGAAGAAAGCCATAATGAATCACAGAATGTTAGAGAGCAAACAGTCCTCAGAGATCATCTGTTGCAAGCCTTCATTTTAGGAATGGGAGAACTGAGCACCACTGATGTTATGTAAGGTTATAGAACATCATCCTAATTCAGATTCCCACTCTGTGGACATAACTCTCTGGAAGAATGTTAGACATTTGTGAATGTTTCATTCATTTTTAGCCTACGAGCGTACTCGTGGGTGCTTTGAAGCAGTAATTTCCCTACAGTAATCTTGAGTGCAGAGGCTATCAGACTGTGCAGAAATTAAGCCGGGCTGTAGGAATTACTCAAAATGGTCTAGGACCTGGGATACTAAAACTTGTAGCTCTAGAAATGCAATTTTGACCATTTACCCACAGGTAGTTAGGCTCTGGGGAACAGAGAGATGCTCAGCTAACTTACAAACCATAAATATAAATTTGTTTATGTACTGAAAGTGGGAATTCATGTGTGAATGCACTCTGTAAAACATGTGGAATTACAAGCATGAGAATTACATTGGGAACAGTAAAGATAATGATAATTATAAACATCATTATTCCTCATGGTTAGGTCCGTGCAGACATCCCAGTATTGTCTAAGGCATTTCCATTAATATTATAGCCTGATTAGATATCCATATCTTCTTCGGGGATGTTGAGGTTCAAATAACCAGCTTCTGGAAACGACCCTCTTGGGAATACTGAAGGAATTTAACCAATCCTTGCTGTACACAAAATGATGCAGTAGACTACATTGTGATTTAAGACTCCTGAGACATGGGTTATAGTCTCAGCTGTGCTATTGGGGGCTTATGTAACCCTGGGAAAGTTAAGAGATTATTCTGAGCTTCAACTTTCTCACCTCTAAAATGCAGAAGTTGATCTTGGCAACTTCCAAAGTTGTTTCCAATGCTCACAGTCTCAGCCTCAAGGGGTTTTCCTTTCCTAGACACTGTAAGCCTTTCTAGTGTCTCCCCATATTTTATTAATACTTGTCACAGTATTACCAGTCATTTAATCATATTTTTATGATATACCGCATTTTAAGTCCACTGTTTTAGCCAAGATTTTCTAGAAAGTAGAACCTGAGGCGCAGATTGAAATGCTGACAGTCTATTTGAAAGGCTGAAGGCAAGGGAAGTGGAGGTGAGGGAGAGGGGGCAATGGGGATGGAAAGCCGTCCAGAGAGAACACTTTGCTGCACCAGCCAGGAATGCATGCTCTGCTGTAAATAGAGACAGCAGGGGGCTGAGTAGTCTTGGTTGCACAACATATGGAACATGTTAAGGAAGATGTGTAAGGAGAAACTATGCCTTGGAGCCATCTCCAGAGGGGGTTTATGAGTCTGCCTGGCACTGGTTGAGCTTCCCCACTATGGACGCTGGCCCCCCTGCACTTCTTTCCTGAGTGGGGGAGAAAGTCACAGTCAAGTAATGGGCTCTTCTCTCCCTGAACCTCATGTCTAGTTGTTATCTCCTGTAAGGCTTCAGCTCACAAATTAGTGACCAAGCCTCAGGCCCCACTAATGTGGTTGGCTTGAAGACGTAAGGGACATTCATCTTCTCTCCCCTTTATTACCCATGTCAGGCTTCCGTTACCCTCACTTTGGCCTGTCTGGTTCATTGCCTGGTGAGAAGACCCAGACCAGGATTGATGAAGGTCTAAACACTTGGGTTATCTCCTTTTGCTGTCTTTTAATTGCTATATTTTTCCCGAAACAGTTACTGCCGAGCCATGGAGGTGCGAAGAGGCTTCCATGCCATCCTTTCCCCTGCCAGCCTCCTCGATGCTGGCCACCCGGCCTCTTCACGGTCATTAGGGTCAACATTCCAGCCAGTGGAGCAACTGCCTTTTCACTCACGGATCCTTTGCCGTGAGGATCTAAAGGTGGCCAGGAGGTAGATGTAGCTTCCACTTTAGTGGGACTCACACTGTATTCTGTGGCATGTGTCTTCCCCTCTCCTGGGAACACTAATCAGCAGAATGCTAGATTAGGGCATCAAGAAGAGCCAATACTGAAAATGGGTCATTGGGTGTGATAAGAAAAAGATGACTTCCACTCCACACATTGGCACAGGGAGCCACTTGGATCCAGTGCGACATCAGTTGGGGCCAAAATTATTTCCCTTCCTTCACCTGGCTTCTCTGAGCTCCTAGACTCACCTGTGGTAGATGGTGGTGTTTTAGGTCTTCAATTATCAGTATCAGCTCAGACCCTATTTGAAACCAAACCTTGAGAGGTCTGGATCATTCACTTTGCCCGTTGAAGAGATAGCCTGGAGAATACCTGTGTCTCTCTTTAGAGAAGGATCAGAAGAATGTTTATGGGTTTGCACAGTCCTTCCTCAAGGAGCAACTTTGCATGGCAGTGGTTTCTGTGCATTAGCTTTCTATACAGATTAAGAGAATCATGTGGCCCCTTAGTCAGCTGTTTGCTCATCTGTCTGATTCCTAGGAAAATCATGGTCTATGATTCATTGCCACAAATAGACACTCAGATTTCCACTCTAGTCTTGCTGCTATTGCCGTAGTTACACTGACTTTGCTTCTGAAGGTAGAGGATTGTCCTGACCTCTGCTTTTCTGTAACCCTGTGATCTCCAGTGACCATGGGGTCTCACTCTGATGGCCATAGCTCTGCGAGTTCTGGCTGGCAGAGGACAATCAGTAAATTGTTAGGATGATGCTGGAGCTGTCCCTCATGGGTGCATCCTCATCCTCATCCTCTGGGATGCACACTATACATGCACTCTAGCTTTCCTGCCTCCAGCCTTCTGGCCCCTCCTTCACCAATATACTATGAAAATTCTGTCAGGTGTACTTCTATTATCGGCCACCATTAAATCACACTTTAGGATGCTCCCTGACATACTTAGGGCCAACTCCAGGGATTCCTGACATCCCATTAAATCCGAAATCATGGGTGAGTCTGCCCTCGTTGAACATCCTCTTCTGCTTAGTCTTCCATTTTGCTCACTTCTGTGTATCTCCCCCCAGTTTATATCCAAATCCATATTAACCACGTATATTTATCCTGTTGCCATGAAAGCAGTTTCTTCCTGAAATAAGGCTGTACTCCCCTGACTCAGGTTTTTGTCCTGGGGCTAAAAAGCTTTGTTGGGGATGAGGTTTGAGGTGAGCAAGAAAGCAATTATGATGCACCTGCTTGAGGTGAGATTCTCGCATGCACATGGTCTCCAAACCATGGGAGCCTTTCTTCTTTGTGCAGTGGGAAGGGCTGTTTCTGCCAGCCAGGAGGGCTCAGTGGCACTTGGGGGTTGAATTGCCAAAATTTCTCAACCTTAAATTTCATGCTTCCCCTCCCACATCCCCCAGTGCTGACTTGGTATGTAAGAGCTGCCTAGGAGTGCATTCACCTCTCTTGTGTCTCAACCAACTTTTCAATCAGGTCCTCATCTTGGTCCTCTGCACACTTTCATCTGGCACTCAGAGGCATGAAACCCTCATTTAAGATGCCACAGAGACCTCCAACTGTAGGTGAAATCTTAGCATCTAATCTGAACCCTTTATTTAGGAGATGAGGGTATAATGAGACGTAGCACTTCTGACTGTCCGAAAAGTACACAGAGTTTCTCTTAAGAAATCCTTCCTTTACTTAATGTTTAAAGAGTAAATGTGCCAGCAATTTTCCCTAAGTAGCAAATAACTAGCAAGTTCTGTGGGAAATTAAAAAAAATAATAATAATAAAAGCAAGAAAATTTTGCTTGTCTTTATAGTCTGTAAAGTGTCTTATACCTAAGTACCTCACTAAATATTAATTACTAAATAATAATGACATGAAGTATGGGGATTTTAGCAGTAGAGTAAAAGATGATGACCATCTAGACAACACAAACTGAAATCGCAAGGATAAAACCACACCTCATGTGCTGTCTCCAATCACCTTTCCCTGTGGTAATATGCTCAGTGCTGAGACGGATGATTTTTAAGAAGACAACATCCGATAATGCTGTTCTCTTTCCGCGGAGATATCCATACATTCCCTCTAGATAAAAATTTATCTCAGCCAATGGAGTCGACCAATATGAATATTGATGAGAAAGAAAATGATACAAAAACACTACGGTTCTAGAAAGTGAAAAAGCAATCTGTTTTCAGAAATTGGTTTTGAGGCCCTAAATTTGTATGTTGAGGATCTATGTGTGTGTGTAAAATAGGATAGGATAAAGATTTAGAGAGAAGGAAAGATAGATGATAGATGGATAGATAGATAGATAGATAGATAGATAGATAGATAGATAGATTAGACCTAATGGCTACAACATTATTCTCATCAACTCACAAAATATTTGAATTGGAAGTAATCTTCCAATTATCTAGATGTCCTCTAGATAAATCTCTTAATGAAGTTTGAAGTGAGATTCAGAGAAGTAGCTTGATAATTAGGAACAGATATACAATGACTATTTAGTTTTCTACACTTGAAGACAATTGCTTTAATTTTTTCCGAGTGTGAAAAATACTCACTAATAAATGAATAATAATAAATAAACTAATTAATTGATATGTGAATAAAAAGTCTTAGTTTAATAAAAAGTAGGGGCTAAATATGCACGTGTTTTATAACTTCTTTATTTGGCTCCTTTCGTTCCACTATTTAGCTTGTAGAAACTGTCTACCTAAAAGTTGAAATACTCAATTCCCCCACATGTGTTCTGAGAGACTGAGCTCGTTTGACTGCTGATTCCTTGGTGTTCCAAGGTTTCCTGGAAAAAGATGAACAGGTAATTTAGTTGAAGACCAGGCATCTATTTTGGTTCTTCTTTTCAGATGCCCCATGTTGTATTCCAGCTCAGTGATGGTATCCTGTGGACTGAAAGTGAAAAGTCTATTATTAAAGCTTACAAACTTTACACTCAAACAGTATAGTTTTATAGCAAAGATCAATGATCACAAAATATAAAGGACATGGCAATGTACTCTGGAGAATTATATCACTTGAAACTGTAACTGTTTAGGAAAAAAAGTGCCAGGATAGCCACAAAGTGATGGGAAGGAGAATATATTACAGAGTCAGGCTGTCATAGCTAGGACAGCTGTCTGTCTCTCTTGGCTCTGAGTCTGGTCCTTCAAGGCTAGAAGGGCCACACTGCAAATTTCTTCTTTTGATGACTAAGATAATGTCTATACTGTATGTTTTTTAAATGTCCCTATTTACATGGATTTTAACTTAGGGTTTTTCTGGGTTTTTGTTTGTTTCTTTGTTTGTTTGGCAAAGCCCCACCTCTCCATTGCAGCCAATCATTCCTTTTAAAACATATTCACACACACATGCATGCACAGGAATTAATAATAAACTAAATTATGCATTTCCTTGTGAAGCTTTGAAAAACAGTTGCCAAAGTGTTCCTGAAGTCAGAGTCATACTGGAAGATTCTATGAGAGAGCCCGTTAGAACCCAGGTCGTTGTTGGGAGAATTGACAGAAAGTGCTCTCAGGAAAAACAAAGACCTTGAAATTTTCAGTGCTATCAACCCTTCATTTGCCCCACACTTTTGATTTCCCCTTTACGAGTACCATCCATGCAGCTGAATACTTTTCAGTTAGCCATTCTGGCTCACCCGTAGCACATGGCAGCCATTCACAGAGGTACCACAGCACTCACAGTCCCTTGTATGCCCTGTATTTGTGCCAATGGAAGGTCCTTCCTCTGCAGCACAGGCTCTCCAGCGCTGGCCTCCTTAGCTATGTCGCTCCCTGTTGCCTGTTTCCCTTTTCGAGACCCTGTTCACAGCATGTGCTTTGGGCCATTGTCCATGAAAGAGAGAAACAATGTGAGTCCCAGAGATCTCATCGCAGGAGGAAAAGATCAACTCCGTGGCTGTCTTTGTGGTGCCCAGCAAGAAATGATGCCTGTAAATGTGACTGTGCTTTTCTGGGGCAGTTTCCTGAAAAGGTGCAGGTGGAATGGTGGGCAGAAGTCACTCACATTTTAAGCCTTGGTCCGAGGCATTTTGAAGGCTAAGGCCATCATTTTAGGTCAAAAGAGGTTTCACGAAATGCGTAAAAATAGGGAATGAGGAAAGTGTGACGAGCTGGTTATCTACTCTGGAGTTCTCTTGTCAATGTCAGCAAGAGGAGCCAATGCAGTCACAGGAGGACTCATATAACCGGCCGCCCCGGCTCACAGGTAGGCTCCATTGTGCCTGCTCTTCAATCGGCCAGACGGACGTGGCTGCTTGTACACCCAGGTAGTCTAGGTCACTCCCTTGAGTCCTACCATACAATGAAGGCCTCCGCCATCAAACCAACTGCACTAGATTACAGCGAGTGGGAGAATCTGGAAGGATTTGTCTTACTCAACGTGGTGTGTTTACTGTGAGCAGGGTACATGCCATTTGTCCACAATGGCCACAGCTCTCAGAGGCATGGCATTGAGACAGCGAGGACTCAGTAGGAGGGAGGGCAGGAGCAGGGTTCATATCATCTGTCCACACATTAGGTTAATGAATAAAATAATGAACGATAGAGTGGGGACGTCTTTATTCTCTGACCATGCAACCTGCCATGTATCAGAGAGCATCATAGCCCCTGGGACCGGCACCGACCACTTCTCTGTTGACTGTGGTTTCTGTTTATAGTGGTCCCACATCCACTTTTCCTGTCAGCCTCAATAACACCATGTCTGTGTATCATTTATTTGTTGCAAGCTTCTTAAAATTATTAAAGGTATGTTACTTATTCAATCAAACTATATAAATAAAATTGTGAGAAAGAGAAAATGATGGCAGTAGCTGTTTTTAAAAATGAATCTTGGTTAATATTGTATACAATTATATACAATTCTATGAAAATTGTGTCTTCTATATAGGTATATCAAATATGTATTTAAAGTTGTTCTATATATAATTTAAAAGATTTTATCTGGTCTTTACGAGCATCTTAGCATTATTGTTTTCATGCTCACCTTGAAATCCACCACAGAAGGCTCACCTCCACGGAGGGCACTCTGTTCGTTTCCTCTGACAAGGTTTTCACTGCTCCTCATGGTTATAGTTAGTTCTTATGAGTTCATTATATGATAAGCTGTTTGAAACTGATGAATCAATATCCTAGTGCTCCTAGGAAGTATTTGTCTTCAAATGACGGTATATTTATTCTTTAGTTTAAGAAACAGCTTTGAGATACAAGATTCCCACATAATAGATGGACAATTACCGAGGAATTTTTTCAGTAGGTTTGGAGAGTAGTTTATGGCTTTTTTGATATTCATCATTTTGGAAATAATTTTTTTTTTTTTGAGATGAAGTCTCACTCTGTTGCCCAAGCTGGAGTGCAGTGGCATGATCCTGGCTCACTGCAACCTCTGCCTCCCAGGTTCAAGAGATTCTCCTTTCTCAGCCTCCCGAATAGCGGGGACTATAGACGTGCACCACCATGCCCGGCTAATTTTTGTACTTTTAGTAGAGATGGGGTTTCACTGTGTTGGCCAGGCTGTTCTCGAACTCCTGACCTCGAGATCTGCCCACCTCAGCCTCCCAAAGTGCTGCGCTGGGATTATAGGCCTAAGCCACCGCACCCGGCCAATAACTTCATTTTTGATTATTAGGTTTAGTAATCATGTTAACAATTCAGTGCTTCAGTTTGAGGTATATATTTATACACACACACACATATAAAGCTATGCTACCTAATATGATTTTGTGTTTCACACTGAGGTACTGAATTTATTTAAAATGTTCTATATGTTTATACGATACACATATATATAACATATGTGTATCGTGTGTATATGTGTGTATATATATATGGATGTGCACACATGTGTATATATGTATATACATACACGTGTATGTGTATGTATATACATACGTGTATGTGTATGTATATATGGGTCTGTATGTATATGTACACATATACATATATATGAACTTATTTAAATTGTTTTGTATATAGGATACACATATATAAAACATTTTATCATATGTGTACACATATGATAACCCACATTAGGCTACCAGATTCAACACAGGTAGCCTAATTCCAGGGTCTGCACTTTTAAACAGATCCTGTGCTCCTCTGCCTCTTTTGTGCTTTGGGTGCCCCACGGAGAGAGCAAATGAAAGGCCTTTTCACTCTTTTTTGGACCTTGCTAGGACACGCAAAGTTCAATAATCTCAGATTCTGAAAGAACTTTATAAATCTATCCATGGGGATAAAGACTTACTGAAAGATAAGCTTTTATTTAAAAATCATAATTACTGATATTGTGTTTCTTATTAGTATTTTTTTTTTTTTGAGATAGAGTCTTGCTCTGTTTGTCAGGCTGGAGTGCAATGGCACGATCTCCACTGACTGCAACATTTGCCTCCTGGGTTCAAGCAATTCCTCTGCCTCAGCCTCCCGAGTCTCAGACTACAGGTGCCTGCCACCACACCAGGCTAATTTTTTCTATTTTAGTAGACACGGTGTTTCACCATGTGGGCCAGGATGTTCTCGATCTTCTGACCTCATGATCCACCCGCCTCAGTCTCCCAAAGTGTTGGGATTACAGGCATGAGCCACCGTGCCTAGCCTATTGTTTGTGTTTTAAAAGGCACATAGAAGGTACAAGCAAATGAAACCTATAAGCAGCAATTAAGTTTCATGGAAGTATTTTCCTCTCTAAAGTCGTAAAATCAAACAATGTGTGGAGCAACCAATTCTTTATGTGTTGAGCCAATCCTCTTCTTTGGATTTTGTTTAGAGGACTCATCAGGATCTTGTGCGCAATCACATCACCTAAGCAGCAGGAGACATCCAGCAGTCCAAGGGAGAGAAAGCCCCAGGTTAGCCAAGGATTTGGAAATAATCCTCAGGCACTTCCCTGGGGTTCTGTCTTTCTGGGTTATTTGAAATGTCCTATTGTTTTCTCATCAATCATGTACAGCATCCAAAATATCCTGATTCATAGATTTCCTGCCCTATATTTGAATGCCAGCTATTTTTCAACGCACTTTGAAAGAATATAATCTACTTTAACAAAATTCTATTTGAAAGGTTTTAGCAGAGCTAAAATCTCTTAACCAATAGCCTCCAATCGTACATTAGAAAAAAAAAGAAAGTCCATACCACAAAATAGACCCAGGCTCTACTCTAGGCACTTTGTAGATTTTAACTAATTTAATCCTTATACAAGTCTTCTTGGGAGGGCACTATTACCCACATCTCACAGATGAGAAAACTGTAGGACTTAGAGAGTTTCACAAGCTTTGCCCAAGGTTGGCACAGCTGATAAGTGGTAGCCAGGTGCAACCCAGGTAGCCTAATTTCAGGGTCTGCACTTTTAAACAGATCCTGTGCTACTCTGCCTCTTCTGTGCCTTGGGTGCCTCACAGAACAAATGAAAGGTCTTTTCTGTAAGAATGAATATTCCAGTATTCTAGGAAATTACAGCACCCCAAATGGCAACATCACTAGCAAGCATAGCAAAGCAGGAAGCGACCACAGATAAGTATGGCTGAGATTCTGAAGGCATAAACCAAATGTAAGAGTTGATTCAGCCCTTGGCTATGGGGTTCAATATCTCTAAATAGCATGGTTTGACTCACCTGTTTTTGAGCCTGTGCCCCAAGGTGATGTTTGGCTGTGTCTCCACCCAATATTTCATCTTGAATTGCCTTCCTCATAATTCCCACATGTCAAGGGAGAGACCAGGTGGAAGTAATTGAATCATGGAGGTGGTTTCCTGGCAAGTTTCTAGTGAGTGAGTTCTCGCGAGATCTGATGATTGTATAAGAGGCTCTTCCCCCTTCACTGGGCGCTTTCCTTTCCTGTTCCTTGTGAGGAAGGTGTCTTGCTTCCTTTTCTGCCATGACTGCTTTTCTTGAGGCCTCCCCAGCCATGTTGAACTGTGAGTCCATTAAACCTCTTTCCTTCATAAATTACCTAGTTGCGGGCAGTTCTTCATAGCAGTATCAAAATGGACTGATATACAAAATGGACTGATATACTTGCTGAGCTTAAAAGCAGTGCAAGTGATTAAGTCTTGCACCCTGGAAATTTTGATTCTGTAAACTCAGGGTAGACTTGGGAATCTGCATTTAAACAAACAAAAAATTCTCTGGGTAGATAAAAGACTCCAGTTTGGAAACCACTGAACTGGCTAATTTAGTCTTTCTCAAATTCTGATCTTCAGAGAGCAGTTCACCTGGAGCTTGTTAGAAATTCAAATCGTCAGTCCCCTCCCTGGATTTACTGAATCAGGAACTCAGTTTGATAGACCCTGCAGGTGAGTTGTGGCAGGTGTGTTGAGCAAGTCCTCTTCTTTGAATTTTGTTTACAGAGGACTCGTCAGGACCTTGTGGGCAATCACATCACCTGAGCAGCAGGAGACATCCAGCAGTCCAAGGGAGAGAAAGCCCCAGGTTAGTCAAGAATTTGGAAATAATCGTCAGGCATTTCCCTGGGGATCTGTCTTTCTGGGTTATTTGAAATGTCCTATTGTTAAAGTTTGAGAACCATTGCCCTAACTTGAAAACAAATCCTCGGGTCACAGTGCATTAGCCTAGACATCAACTCTCTAAAGAATAATATCAGTGCTCAATGTTCGATGTGACTTTGTTTTACAGCTCCTTCTGAAATTCTTTTAAAATCATGCTTCAGTATGTTTTCCCTTTGTACAAAAAGGAAACCATGTTGCATCTGACATTCTCCAGAGTAATAGTTAAGACAAAAGAAGTCTTTGATAGTGTGGAAAACCCAGTAGAGTCGTTTTTTAATCCTGCTTGAATTCAGTAATTTTTAGAAGTTATACTTTTAGTTAAAAAAATAAGTTTCCCTATTTATGATTCAAATGAAACAATACTCGAAGAATAAGGCACCATTACTTTTCTCTGAGCCAAGATAGTACAAAACCTTCACAGGTGCTAATTAATCTCCTTACTGTTTCTGGGAAGTAGAAGTGAAGAATACTGCCCTCGTTGGATGTGAGAGGAAATGGAGGGACATGAACAGTTGTCATCTAATTTGTATTCACTTCCCAACAATTCGATACTCGTGTTCTTTCCATTTTTAGTCGACTCTATAGTAACAGAGAGTTGACTTTTAGTGACTAATTTCTTATTTTTAGTAGCATTAATTTGTAATTTACCACTGGACACATCTTAGGTATGTTATTTTGGCTTACAGTTTATAACAGCCTGTATCGAAGATTTATACATTATTTTGAGCCATAATAAATTAAAATAACTAAAATACTTCCCTGAAAAGAGATTCACCAATTGACAATAATCTTTAATCACTTGACACATATTTATAGAACATGCTCCAAAGCAAGTCAACCTTCTTTCGATCACCCAGCCAAAAATTCCAAATGCCAATATTCTAATTTTCAGATATATGAAGTTATTTTTCTAAATATCTCACTGTTGTTTTTCACAGTATTAATATAGAATAGTATTAACATGTGCTGCCCAGGGCACAATGGAGATTCAACACATGGTAATAAATGTACCTGCTACTCTCTGTCCCCAGAAAGATACACAAATAGCCAGACAGATCATAAATGATAGACAGGTAGGCATATTGATGATACAGATAGGTAACAGATGTTAGGTAGACAGACATATAGATGATAGATAATAGGTAGATAGATGCTATAGAGATATATAGATTATAGGCAAGCTTAACATCACGCATTGTTTATTGGGCATACAGAATACTCACAGAAGTATTCTCTGTGTGTGTCTGTGTGTGTGTGTGTATAAATATTTTAGGTCATTTGCTAATTAGATATGTATTTTGGGGCCGCAATGTTAAGTCAGCTGACATTGAGTTGGTTGAATTATTTTGGGGGTGTTTAAATCACTCTACCAGTAGGCCGAGATTCTCTGTACTCGTCCAACAGTGTCCTATGATTGTGAAGAGTCCGTAGGGAGCCTTTCACATGTTTCACTGATTCTGGCTCTTCATCAACAGTGCTATCACCAAGGGCCCTCTTCCCATTGATTCATGCAACACATGCTTGTTCAACACCCACCATTGACTGGCCACTGTGCTAAATGCTGAGCATTAAAAGATGAAGAAAGATAATGTTCCAGTTGGTGAGAGCACAGACATCAAATCTATAGACTGCATTTCCTTGCCACAGTTCATCTGTCACTCCTGACTTTATCCATGTTATTGATGCAGTTTGGAAGTGAGGAGTCTGGACCCAAGAGCCAGACTTCTCCTGCACTTATGGGTCCTGAGACCCTGGGCTCTTACATAATCTCTCAGTATGTAAAATGAGGATAATACGACTATTTCCCTCAACAGACTGTTTTAACCTATTTCCCATTTAGGAAAAAAAAATGTGCAGCTCACTGCCAGTGCTCATTTCTTAAGGCAAATGGGAAAGGGGTTAAGGGTTCTCTGAGTTAATGCATGCCGAGTTCTTAAAGAATATAGGAAGGTTTCATGAATGTAGCTCTTGTTATTACTTTGTGAAGATGTCCATGGCACAGGTGACATTGACTTGCAGAAATGACTGGCTGTGCTGAGCACCTGTGCTGTAGAAGGCTCTGGAAGTACACCTGGCCTGCTTGCTATCCATATCCCTTTAGAGCATCATGCTGCCTTTGTTTTTCTACAACTGAGACCCTGGACATTTTCTCTTCTGTCTAGGATGAAAGTTATTTTTAGTCTGTTTTTTTCGTTTGTTTGTTTTGGAGAAGTGGGAACACACTCATGCTGATTTAGTAAGAACATCTTGGGCAGCATTGGGGCAGTGGCTTTTCCCCGCCAAGGAGACAAAAGATGATGTATACCCTAATTCCTGTATCATCTGCACTTCTCCCAAAAGACTGAGAGGTCTGCCTTAAATTCTATGGAATCTTTAAGTGATTTAAGAAATATGCTCTCTGGGCTGTACTGGAATACAAGAGCTCAGTTTTGCAGACTTAGTGCAGCAGTTCTAATTTATGCATTTGGAAAGAGAATGCCATTGCTCTCTGCAAAGCTGTGAGATCCGTGCAGTCCAGCATCTACTTTCATGCATCGCAGGAAGCTCTATTTCCATTCCTGACAAGCCCATCTCTGGCTCAAACTGTGAGGAAAGAGAAGCAGTTCCTGAATGAGGCCCTGACAGGGAGACAGCTACAACAGGTGGCCAGGAGGGATGGGAAGTAGCTCTTGTTGATGTCTTCAAATTCAGTGCATATGAATTTCAAAATGTAAACATTTTAAGGCAATTTGGGAGAAGGGAATTAAGTTTTATTTTGAAAGTAAGCAAGGAGCAAAGGGTTCTCAGCAAATCTATCCCCCCTCCTCACCCTTCTCCCGGTGAGGACCCCTGCACGCCGCTGCCTTCCTTGCGAGCAAGGTGTCCATCCACAGCAATTTCATGTGCTCTCCACTCACAGCCAGAGACTGTGGAAATGGAGCTGTCAGCCCTGAAAATAGAGATGCTTTGGTAGAAGTTAAATAACAAAGCCGTCGAAAGTGCATTGCTCTCCATAGGTCCCTGGCTGTAATATTATTCATACCATCTTCCTTTTGCACCAGGCTGCAAACTCATTTTTAAAAACAATTGTCAATATATGTAGAGCTGCTGGAGCTAAACCTGCAGGCAAGAGCCGGGATTGAGGCAACTTTACAAAGCTACTGCTTTTTGATTGCTCTCTGTTTAAAGTCCATGAAAATGAAAGACTTACAGGCTTCCCCCTTTCCAAGCAAAGCACTTTAGTGGCTCATTATTTTCAATGGTTGGGGTCTATGGAGGATTTTATTCTGCCCTAGCAGGTAGATTTCCTTTATTGTTAGCTCATTCGGTCCCACTTGATGCGGGATGGGTGGATGGAGATTTTCTGCAGCATTCCTGATAGGAGGCTGTCTAGCAACTGCTTCAGAGTCTCTGGCCCAGCATTTGCTGAGGTTCTATTATGCCTGCATCATGGTCCTGGGTTCTTTTCAAATGTCATCTTGTTTTGTGGTCCCCCGGATGCAGATGGCCTGGTGTGTTCACTTAGCCGAACTGGAACTGAGGTTTTGAGCCTAAAGAACTTGCTCAAGGTCATAGAACTGGTGAAACAAACCTCAGTGTGCCCTAAGAGCCTTGGGACACCATGGGCACTAAAGAAAATGTCATTTTCTTTTTGTCCAAAAAATTGTCATTATAAGACACTATTTCCCTCAGTCAGCCTTGTATTTCCCTGGCCTTTTTATTTTTATTCTTTGCCATTTTCCTTGGTTTTCATCTTTTTCACTGTACACTCTGAATCAATGGTCTACAACTTTTATGACATTAAAGACCTTTTATCCTTCACTGGAGGAACTTTCTGCTGAGGAACTTTTCCTGTTTTAGCAGATGGATTAATAAGGAGTTATTCATCTCTCCATTTTAAAGATTGAATAATGTATAATGATACACGTGTCTAGCCACATAGTTGAAATAATTGTGGTTAAAAAAACTGGCATATCCTATGGGATTCAAGTTTCAATACTTCCAAGAGTTTTTGAAATATTGCAAATAAAAAAACTGACATTACTAAGTCTGAGATTTCTAAGGGGTTCCAAAGCATCGCCATACAAATTTTTTCCTATATTTCATTTGCTGTCATTGGCTTCCTTTGTGATGGAGAATAAAATCATTGTCACTGGGGCCAGTCTTGCCTGCCCCTTCTCCTTTGCATTCCCTGACAGCCTCTCCTTTTTCCTAGTCCAGATTTGTCATGATGCCTGCTGCTTCCTTCTTACATTTATCACATCTCCTCTCCCGCCATTCTCCTCCTCTATATGCACACTGCCCTCCAGCAAGATCAGCTGGTGCACCAGAATAATGTGAACTGGAAGATTAATTATTGAAAGGATACTTACCACAGGCTGTTCTGGGGGCATGTGATTCGCGTTAACCACAGCACTTTTACTGCTCCTTTCCACTGTTGTAAATCCCCTTTCCTATAGGCTGCCCACCTAGAAAAGAGCAATGGAAGGCCCTGTTCCTTTATCAATACCTCTTAGAAGCTCCCTCACATCCTGGGTGGCAGAATGAATGGCTGTCCCAGCATGCTTCTCTGCTGGCTGATTGTAACACTTTTCACATCCTATCACCCATGAGGACAGAAATTGTTTTGTTTATCTCTTTGTTAGCAGAATCTGTTACAACATTGTTTGTTCAGTAAGAGTCACTGAGTTGAATCCTTACTAAGGTATTACTCTTGTCATGCATATTTTAATCTGAATGGGCAACTCTAAAACAGAGAAGGACAGGAAGGGCAGAAGAGAGAGAGGGCCGTAGAGGGACAGATAAAGTTAATTTAACTGAAGAAAGAACACGATGGTTTTAATGGTTTAATGATTAAATTTATATTGGGGAATAGTTTAGGAAGGACATTCTGTGTGTGCTATATTTGCACAGGACCCAAATTATATTTTTAAAAGCATAAGTGGATGAAAGGTTATGAATTGTTGGCAATAAAAGAGGAAGTCTCTCCTATCATACAGAAGGATAAAATAACATCGGCCTGTCTCAGAAATCTGAGGCCACTGCAACATCAGTGAGATGTGTTTAGGATCACCAACAGATTAATGCATTACAGAATTTACGCTTTAAGGGATTCAGTACAAACTGTTTTCAAAACAATTCAAATATTAGCTCCATTTCCATATAATCTTGGGGAAGTCAGATAATTCTATTTCAATCTCACAATATGCAAATTAGAATGATGCCACATAGGCAAAGGGTTATGGATTCTTAAAACATCATCCTTTTAAAATGCACCATTATAACATTAAAGGTGTTAATTTACACAGTCTTTTTTTTTAATTTCTTAAGTTGAGCAATAACTGTTGAGCACTTCTTGGCATGGCCAGGAATTCGAAAATATAGCAGGCATGAATCCTGCACTTGGGAAAATTTATATGCTAAGAAAAAGTATGTAGATAAATAATGGTAATCAAGACAGGATGTTTAACATTTTAATTAGACAAGTTCAGAAGAAGTGATGGGAAGGAGAAGGGAGAGAGAATTTCCCTGGAATTGGAAGTCCTTCTGAGTTGCTTTTGAGTGGGTGATGGAGGATGAATATGTTTAAACTGTGAAGTCAGCAGAAGATACTCCAATGGGGTAAAGAATGAAAGCAAGGTACGGAGATGGCAGTACATGGAAGTGGTGCTTACAGTACATGAAACGTGGAGCGTGGTAATGTGTGGCACAGGTGATCGTGGGCTGGGGCGTGAGAAGCAGGGGTAATTTTACAGCGGGGAGCAATAAGTTTGAAGTTCTACCATGAAGATTTATGTGAAAACAAGAACAGAAAGACCACTTGTTAGGAACTGCAAAAGTCTGGTGAGGCATTAGTATGTCCTAGAGCAATGAAAGACGCTGTAAAAAGACGAGTGGAAATGGGTGGATTACTGAATAAATGACATCACTGAATTCTCATAAAATTAGTGATCATAAAAATGAGCAGGAAATGCTGGACATACACAAAACTTCCATAAAAGTTTTCTTTTTAAAAACTTATTTCTCATAGGTGATGGAAGAATTTACTGGCAAAAGGCCAGTCTGAGTTCATAGGGCAGTAGATCCATTCAGGAGAATCGGGAGTATTCAGTGAAAATGGTGACTTATTATAAGAACCAAGCAAAGGCATAGCTTTTATTGGAAACCTTTGGGACCAGGCATCAGGATTATGCACCAATTTTGGTTTCAAGCAGGGCCGTAGCGTTTGGGTTTTTATTAGATTCTTCATTAAACTGGATTTCCAAGTGTATTTCACATTTTAAACAGCTTTGCATTTCCTGGTTTATTTTCCTCTTTTAGAAAGTTTATTGCCAGCAGAATTTATTTTTTAATTAGCAAATAGAAGGCTCTAGACAAGCTCTACAGAGGTTTTCCAGAAACAGCTTGAGTTTCCCAAATGCATCTTAGGTGAATTGTCATTAGAGTAATCCACTTTTTGTTTTTCTTTGACTACAATTCCAATCAGATTATGTCCGTTTTTGTTTGATGCATTAATAAAATAGTATAAAAGTCTACATATTTTGCTTTTCTATTGAATGGTAACTGTTTGAGAAAAAACAGACAGAACAAAGTCAAAGCACTCTGCTCCCCTAGGCAATGGCGAGCTCCGCTTATGACTCTGTTGAAAAGCAGGCACGGGAGGAAGCCGACTGGAAAAGGAAGACACTGAGATAAACACTCCTTCTTTCTTACTTTTTTTTTTTTTTTTTTGAGATGGAGTCTCATGCTGTCACCCAGGCTGGAGTGCAGTGGCGGGATCACTGCTCACTCTCGGCTCACTGCAACGTCCGCCTCCCGGGTTCAAACGATTCTCCTGCCTCAGCCTCCTGAGTAGCTGGGACCACAGGCATGCGCCACCATGCCTAGCTAATTTTTATATTTTTAGTAGAGACGGGGTTTCACCATGTTGGCCAGGGTGGTCTCAATCTCTTGACCTCGTGATCTGCCCGCCTCGGCCTCCCAAAGTGCTGGGATTACCAGCATGAGCCACCGTGCCCGGCCGCTGCTTTCTTATGTTCGTTTCTGGGTATTCGTAGTATAGAAATGTATCCAGTCTTGTTTACTTTTCTCAATTTGACACCTTAGTTACTGAGAAGCATTGAACAAAAGCCTCCTTAAGGATGCAAAGAAAATACAGAATATATATAGTGAGAAAAAATGGGAAAATATTATGTTTAAATGTCACTACACTTCTTAAAATATTCATGAGAATAGTTTTGTACTTAAATTGAGTGCTGGTGGTTGAAAAGTGGAGTTAAAAAGAGGAGGAGGAGGAGGCCACTGGAGATTTTGAGAGATTTGCATACATCTTTCAAGAAGATTAATGTTTCTGCCTGGAGCGGGGGCTCACGCCTGTAATCCCAACAGTTCGGGAGGCTGAGGCAGGCTGATCATGAGGTCAGGAGATTGAGACCAGCCTAGTCAACCCTGTCTCTAGAGAAACCCTGTCTCTACTAAAAATACAAAAAATTAGCCAGGGTTGGTGGTGCATGCCTGTAATCCGAACTACTCAGGAGGCTGAAGCGGGAGAATCGTTTGAACCCGGGAGGCAGAGGTGGAGGTTGTAGTGAGCCAAGATTGCTCCACTGCACTGCAGCCTGGGTGACAGGGTGAGACTCCATCTCAAAAAAAAAAAAAAAAAAAAAAAATTATTGGTATTGGTCTTTTATATTAAAAAGTAAAAGTAGTAGAGGTCTACTGTTAAAAAGGATAAGTAATAAATGTTATATAAAGTAAAAATTAAAGGTGTTATTTCTCATTACTGTCTTGACCAAAAACCGTCCCCAAATTAGAAAGTCAAACATCCATTATGTGTCATTCTAGATCTTTTCATCATATATAAACAGCCCACCTCTAACTCTTAAAGCTATATTTATCTTGCTATTACCAATCCTTTTATTTCTATCAACACCACTTTATTTTTCTTACCTAATTTTGATCATACCCTATGTATTGTCATTTTATTCATAAGTTCACATTACCGTGTTTGAAGTACATACTTCTATATATGTATATGCATACCAACCATATTCTTTTCAGCAATTGCACAGTATACCGTGATATTGCTGAACCATAATTGAGTCATTCCTTTTTTAATAGAATTTAATAAAAACAGACCAATAACTGAGCCATTTTTTCATTAATAGGAAATTGATTTCCCATTGCTGGTATAGGACATGAGAATTCCTGTACGTTAATATTCAATTCACATGAACGGGCATATTTACTCACAGGTGCGAGTATTACTGAGGGTAGATTCTGAGGAACAGAAAAGAGAGACAATATTCATGAAGAATGCGGAAGACATAGAAACAGGAACACAGAGAGGGACTTTGGGTATCAACACAGGCAGGTTGTAAACGATCTGAAATTCACTTAATTGAACCAAAATTACAGGCACAAAAGTAAGCAAGATGATTCTTACAAAGTGGAGGAAGACAGTATAAGAATAAAGAAATGGCTTTGTGGTCCTTGGTCAACAGCCCTGCCGTCTCAGAATAGCTTGAATGGAGACTGCAAGGAGGGGGTGTGGACAGAACTTAACCACTGAGCAAGATGGGCAACTGATAGAAGTTGTCTTTGGTTTGAAGTAACTTTTCAACTTTAAAGTATTTTATTCCATTTTCCTCAGATTACAAATTATCAATTATATGGGAGATAAATATCTTGAAGGTGCAATGGAAGGTTTTAAAGATTCACAGGCTCCTTTTAAGCTTCTGAATTATTATGTGGACCTCAGCAAGTGAATAAAGGGTATAACTCTTTACAGTTAATAATACCTAGAATTCATAAAAGTAAACTGTGGGTATCCGTATAGGTACTCATTTTAAATGAATTGGTCAAGTATTTATTAAGTACTTAATGATATATAAAACACTCACTTTTCTACAACCTTTGCCCTCAAACTTAAATCACTGGAAAGACATGAAATATTTGTATGCAACAAGACAACACTGAGCGCTTGAAGATTTCCTGTCATTGGTGGCACAGAAAATAGTAGCGAATGCAGTTTGAATAAGAAGTGCTGTTAGGATGATCAGGTTTGAGGAGACTTCACATGGACATTGAGAGTTTAATAATTTGTCATCCCAAAAGTGTGGAGAAGATTTTCTAAGACTTGGAAGAAACCACGAGCAAAGACAAATGATTGTCAGATGATTATGCAATTTCTTTTTTAGGAAGAACAAGAAAATAATCTTATATAAACTACCTTGTCAATTATTCCATAAGTAATACATCTAAACAGAATAAGAAATCACATTGGTGATTTGTTTTCCTGCCCGAACGCATATAGGCAAACATATAATCTTAATTTAACATAATTTGACATTTAGAATTTACATTAGTTAGGATGAATTAGAGCAAACTTTGTTACACCTGCCAATTAATATAAATGACCATTAGATTTTAACCCAGTCAACTAAGGAAAATGTTAACACACAAGATAAAATGGTTTAAAACTATGATGCTTCCAACTTTGCTGAGGGTTTTGAATAGTATTTCCTAGAATGTGTTTATGCACTCCAATCATACACATAGCAGAGTTCCTTTCACATAATAGATTCTAAAAGTAGTGCTGTTGTCAAATGAAATAAACATTTAGGCCGCTTAGCTATTCAGTTGATTTATAAGTTACAGGCTGTAGGCTAGGATTTTTTGTTAACCTAGTATACTGTGTAGATCCTAGAACTGAACAATGGGGCTTTTTTATTCAACAAGTCAACAAATACCTTTCTAGGAAGGACAGAGAGGGAATAACAACGGCTATAAGAGCACACGCAGAAGAAGGAATGTCTTTAAATAGCAGGATTTAGCTTCTGACAGCCTTGTAGGTGCAGAAACTCAGTCCCTTTCAGTCTTTTTTGAAGTTCTGGATTTGATTGCATTCTATAAATCAGTTGCAAGCAAACAGCTCGCAAGCTTTTCAAATCCACAAAAAAGTATAGCAGTAAAGAATGTGAAATTTAGGGTTTCCTGGCCATTTTAAATATTGCATGATAAACTAAATTATGTGTACAATAAGGATTAGTTGGTGAATATTAGACCAAACACGCTTAGCTGAAATAACATTAAACAGAATGTCTTTAATTCTGATACCTTGGTGAGTCTAAGATGAGATAACACCTCTTTGCTAGATCCTGCTGAAACAGGCTGACAGGCTTTGAGGGTTTGAAGAATGCCTTCTTAACACGGTAATCCCACCTCAACATTAGGGGTTAGGATCTTGAACCTGTGTTCAAGGTAGACCATAAATTGAAAGAATACGGGTCTAAGGAAGATTGAGGAATATCACAAGTGAATCTATAAAAACTCTAACATAAAATAATGCATGAAATAAAATAAGGTAGTATTTTTTCCTCATATTAGTAAGATCAGGTACTATGAAATTATTTCCAGGGCATCATAAGATGCCAGCCTCTTCTGCAGCATAGAGGTCGGAAGCTCACTAGCTACAAACCCCTCCCACACTTACTGGCTGTGGTAAGATCACTCTAGTTTTATTTATTTGTGAATAGGATTAATAGTAGGTATTCTTATTTACTCAGGTTTATTGAGAGATACAAATGAAACACAACATGGGAACATAGAGAAATCCTCAATGAAAGTTAACATTATTGCTGTTTTATTTCCATTTTTGTAATACTTCTATTGCTAGACACATTGTAGGATCTATTTTTCTTCCCCACAGATCAAAAGAGATGTTTTTAAATTTGTTTTTTTCCTGTGCTGGAATCACCATGCAAACTGAGCAGCTGAGTGTTTTCTTTAAATCTTTCTCTCCATCTGAATTTAAGGTGGCAATGGGCCAGTGGTTCTCACCTAGGGCACTAATTTGGTTTCATCACATGGGTTGCTCACAGCACACTGAGACATCTGAGGCTGAGTTCAGGCACACTAGAAAATAGTTAAATGATTAGAAATTCCTAAGGGCCTAGGGTGAGGAAGTGGCAGACCACATAGTCTTTCCTCTGCTTCTGAGATATATTTATACATATGCATACATATATACCATATACACACGGTCAATACCTTTTAGAATTTCTTAGTTTTTTGGGCCATGGTCATTATAAACAAAGATTTTCTTAGATGCCTAGCTTGAAAAAGGTCTGAATAGTTTCAGCTGTTTGAATTGCTGTAATTGAGGAGCTATGTTTGCAAATGCCTTCGTAATCATGAGAATATAACTATCTCCCCCCCTAGGATATGAACTGCATCAGAGTAGAGATAATCCCACTGCTGCATCCTCGGCCGCTAGATGCATTCCTGGCTACCCAGGCGTGGCACATTGTAAATATCAGTGGGCGAGATGAATAGAAGACTCAGTCTTAGCCCTTTCGATGTTTCCTCTTTGCCAAAATCTATGACATCAGCCCTTTTTTACACAAAGTAAATCGCCTTCCTTCCTGAAAGTAATCAGTGCTGTGACTTCTAGTCTCTTAAAGGTAATAGAAGTTACTGCCTTTTGCCACAACACGGATGAATCTGAAGGACTTTATGTAAGTGAAATAAGCCAGAAACAGAAAAATACCACACGGTCTTAGCGACATGCATCTGAAAAGAGAAGCATACGTAGAAACAGAGAATGGAAAGGTGGTTAGCAGGGACAGGCAAGAAGGGACGGCGGGAGAAGTAGAAAAGCAAGCTAACTAATCCTTACGAATAAACACAGGGATTTAGCGGAGGGCATAAGGATTATAGTTAATAATACTGTATTGTATACTGAAAATTGGGTAAGAGTAGAATGTAGGTGTTTGTAATGCACATCCACTGAATGTAACTATGGAAGGAAATGAGTAAGTGTGCTTGATTGTGGTCATCATTTCACTATATAAGCTTTAAAAGCAACAATAATTTTAAAAAGTAATAGCTCTATGACTTGTTTTTCTTAGAACTTTTTTTTGTTTTATAAAATCTTTACCCTTGCTGTCTTACGTACGATTCTTCTGTTCTATTCTTTACCCCTTATTTTACCTTTTACTAGCTTTTTCCAATGGGATTCTGATATTTTTATATGTCCCGTCTGTAGAATTTACTCTCAAAGCATCTGAAATAGAAAGTAAAACAGTATTTACCAGAATTTCACGACAGGTCATGAAGTGTGTACACTATCTATAAGGTAACTCTTACATCACTGCTATTTTCATTCTGCCTGGCAAATTTCTTATCTCCAAGATAACCTTCTGCATAAACATTGTATCTCCTGTGCCTTGCTTTACTTCAGAGTTTTGGAGGTATCCTCAATAAAAAGAAATCAATTTTTAATATATGTTAATGCATTATATAAGCAATAAAGAATAAAAGAGCTAGGTGATCATAATACTTCTATTTATTGTATGTGTTCACAAAGCACAGCTTTGTACCAGAATTATTCTAGATGTAACGCATGTTCTCTTTTTAGTGTTTGTAGTCAGTTTAAAGCAAAAGTAATAAAATCTAGTCATCTTTGCAGATTGTCACTTACAGAGAGCATCCCAACCCATCATGATAGCCAACAAACTTTGATCATCCATAGAATTTTTTTTTTTTGACTCTCCATCTGTTGCCCAGGCTGGAGTGCAGTGATGCGATCTCGGCTCACTGCAACTTCCACCTCCCAATTCAGGCTATTCTACTGCCTCAGCCCTCCTGAGTAGCTGGAATTACAGGTGTGCACCACTAGGCCTGGCTAATTTTTGTATTTTTAGTAGAGATGGCTTTTCACAATGTTGACCAGGCTAGTCTTGAACTCCTGACCTCAGGTGATCCACCCACCTCAGCCTCTCAAAGTGCTGGGATTACATGCGGCATGAGCCACCGCGCCTGGCCCAGAAACAGAAATTATGTTGGTGTTTTGCAGTTTTAAATCTTTGTGAACCAGCAAAATAAAATGAAATGGAACAATGTATTTGTAAATGCTCTGACACCCCTAAGTAGTGCTGTGGTCATTTGGGGTGTTTGGTTCATGATTGCATAGATAGATACATCGATGGTAGACAGATGGCATTTTTATCCTTTTTGCCTTATATTAGTTTTTCGAAAGTTAAAGTTCAAAATGTTTTGTAGTGTTTTGTAATATCTCATACCAAAAGACCTGAATTAGTATCACTTGTGAGGATACATGTGTGAATAAACAGATGTAGACAGGCTTTCTAAAGCATTTTTAAGCTATACCTGCTTTATTAATATCTGCTTAATATTATTTTGAGAAGAAAAGTTTCCCAGTGGAACTCAGATTGAGCTAGAAGCACCATTCAGAAACACACGGCACCTTTATGGTGTCCTCACGGAACTGCTTCTGCCTTACTGTTCCTACTGCAGGAATGAGTAAACTAGTTTTGAGATGGAAATGCAGGTCATTATCAGATTTTTAGCATATCCTATAAAACTACTCATTTTTAACAGCAGCTCTCCCACAGTGACATAAATCACTGGAGTGTTGACAATGGATCTCATTTGTCTTTGTAGCTTCTGTGTTTCTTGTTGAAGTAAATTAAACTGAGTTCACGTATTGAGGCCTTTAAATCTGGAGACGATCCATCCTGCTTATCTAAGGATGTTTTGCCTTTACTTTCAAAAACTCCTTATTTTTGTGTGTTCTCAAACCTAGGGAACACCCTACTATAAGTCCTGATACCCAAGGTTCATTTCCCAACATTTTTCCAGGGGCAGAGGCAAGAATCGTGAAGGTAGTGTGGGATCTCTCCTGAGCCTGGTAGCCAGCATTACTCTCTGGGATTTCTTTCTTTGCCCTTCTCTCTACCTTGGAAATCACCACATCATCCTGGGTGTTTTGAATCAGTTCTTTATCGCTTTATCCATCAAGCTGACCTTCAAAGAGAAATTCTGATAAGAATCTTTTTCCTCTTAAAGATCATATTGATATTTCGTGTTTTTAAGCATAGTCTCTCATTGCTTTTAAATGGGGATTTGCCAATTTGAACATAAAAATTATTCTTATGCATATAATTGCAGAAATTGTGTATATTTTTGGTTATTGCAACTTAAAAAATGTAGATGTATGTGGGGGAAATAAGAGTAAGTTGCAAGAAAGGCGATTATCCTTAATGAAGTTGCCGACATAAGAGGACGTTTCAGTCGGAAGAGGTAAATGGTGAATGGACATTGGATAGAATTCTGTAAAACGTGGCACATGTCAACAGTTTCATTCAATGAACTTGACTGAGGCCTGTCATGCGGTTGGCACTAAGTGCCTCAGGTACACATGCATGTGTGCATACACACACTGACATCCTACCCATGTGTGCACACATTCACATAGACAGGCTACACTATTTTACACAGCTACACACTATCTTACACTATTTTAAGTCCATACACTATTACACAGGTCACTATTTTAAGTCCATAATTTTAAGTCCATAATTCAATAAGGGAAATGTATTAAAGAGAAAAATATATGCTGTAAAGAAGTCAAAAAAGAGCTACGAAAAAGCACTGCTTGTAGGAAGTAGAAAAAAATCACAAAATAGCATTTGATTTGGAACATAACAAAATTATTCCAGGTAGTGAATACTGGAGTTTTCTAGACTGTACCTAGAGTCTTTAAATAGATTGGTGAGTTCAGAGAAGTATAAAATGTTTCTTGTAGTGTTTTGCAAACAAGGGAATGATGAGGGATGAGTCTGTAAAAATAGATTAGGGCCAGATCATGCTGGATCTTGCAGTCAGTGCCAAGGGACTTAGATTTTAGGCTGTAGGCAATGGAGAGGCAGCTTTAATTAAAGGATGGCATGATCAATTTTATGTTTTGAATGAAACAATGATTCTTTTATTGGAAGAATGCAGAATTCAGAGGAATGAGGAGAAATTAAAAGCACATAATTAGATTAAAAATTTAAAACAGTACAAGAGAGACTCTCTAGATGAGACAAGGTTACTCCCACTGTAAAAATTATTACTTATACATATCTTATTATAAATATCTTCATGGATTAAAGGCAGGAGAACATAGCATGAATTAGATTAGAAATTGTATATTTGACATTTGGGTTAACCATCCTATTTCCTTGAATACTTCTCTGTTCTTAATAAGCACTCAGCAGATACTTGAAAGAAAATGTTTATATGACACCAAAGTTTTGGACACATAAAATAGAAATGATTTAGAGCTTTAATATATACTGTTATGACTGAAAGAAAAAAGATGACATAGTCTGACTCTGTCACTTACTATGTGATGTTAGATAACTCACATAACCCTCATATACAAAAGCTGCGATAGAATTGCCTTCTATAATATAGAAGCCTTCAGGATACCACTTTTTATTTTTTCCCCACTACCAGTGTCTTCAGATTGTATGAGACGCATGATTCTAAGCTACTTCCCAGTAGAAAGTAATAAAAAAAAAATGGTTCATTTACATTTGACTTGATATTATAAGAAAGGAAGTCTGGGGCCTGCTCAACATTCTGGTTAGGAGAGCTGGGGAAAAGATAGAGCTTGAAGAACCCTGGTATGTATGAAGCTGGTAGATTTCTCTGAAGTACTCAACATTCCGGTTAGGAGAGCTGGGGAAAAGTTAGAGCTTGAAGAACCCTGGTATCTATGAAGCTGGTAGATGTCTCTGAAGTACCCTCAATAAATGCATTCTTCAAAAAATAAGACAAAAGTTATGCAGAAAGATAAAATACGATTTAGGTCTAATGGAGCATAGGAGCTAGGATCTTTCCAACTGCCCTGCAGTTCATCACTGCGGTTTTTGAATTGTCATTTGGAACTAGAAATCTACCTGTTTGCCAAGTTTTATCAACTTCTTGGATAGCCAGCCTTCTGGGATGGTACCAGAGTCTAGTGTGTTTGCTGTTATTTTCCAAAGGGAAAAGGGACTGGGATCCCCATTTTACTCCTTGTTGATCATATGATGAGTTAATAACTGTTTCCATTTCATAAAAACTGAAAAGAAGCAATGTCTTAAAGAAATGAAAAATGTCCTTTTCTTTTACCCATGGTGGAGCCAACTACTTCTACAGACTGTTTAAGAGGTTTGGCAGAATTAGATGAGTTTCCATCCTTTTGAGAGGCTCCTGGAGCCCACACAGACTAAGGAATTGGGCAAGATCCATGAAAGACAAAATAATCTCTTTGAGTAAGAAAGTGGTTTGTCTGGGAGGATCATTTATAATGTGCTTAAGTCAGGCTGAGGCTTAACTCCATTTATTTCTTCTATGTTGGATGTGGAGAACTGCAGGGACAAATCCATTGCTCGGAACTGGAAGAAATCCGATGTTTGCCTTTGTACCATTGACAGTTTTTCACACTAGTTAATTTTTGGCATTAGGAATAGTCTACCCTGCCTGTTCAAAAGTCATCTGGTGTCAACAGTTCTGCAGGGATATGATTTATCGTGGATTTGCACGGGAGCTGATTCCACAGCCTTCTTTGCTAAATCATTTTGACATTTAACAACCTTCCCTGCCAGGAAGTTCTTTCTTATATCGGAGGGGTCGGCAGCCTCTGGCAGGCATTCTCCATCTTTTGATTAAGAAGAGATTATTTTCATTTCCCAAAGCTTTAAGATAACTAGTGATGGCAAAAGAGGGTTGCAAAACATGCTAGACACGAAGGGGTATTCTCTTTTCCCTGGTGGAAATCAGAAAAAACCTCTGGAGAAGTGTGTCAATATCAATCCATTTGCAAGGTAAGAGTGTACCCACAGAATTGCCCATGTGGGCAAGGGACTGGCACTCACTCACTGTGGCTCGTGAGGGGGTGAGTATTTGATTAGAATGAAAAACCAGAGAGAGGATGATAAAGGGAAAAACATGACCCAAACTAGCGTCTAAACATTCACTTCTGGTGACTGCTTTCATTCTTTTTTCTCTACTCTTGCTTTTGGTGTCAATATCCCAGCGTGTCTGCTTTTAGTATAAGGTGTCCGGCCATGAGTCCTTTCTGACAGTCATTAGGATCTTATGGTTTTCAGGATGTCTCCATGAAGCATTCACCCTGATTTCCAAATCACCTTGTTTTCTGCTTTTCTTGTCTGCCTACTTAACTATAGCAAAGCAAGTGAGACTGGAAATCCACCCATATTCCACTCGGAATGCTCAGGGCCTTCACTCATGGGCCACAGTCAATGCCCTTCCTGCATATTCACATCACTTTCTCTCACAGTTTTTCAGCTGTGGCAACTGGTAGGATTTAAATAGCTTCCAAATTAGTTATTTAAAAATCACTCATTTCTGAACTGTGGTGACATAAATGTAGTAGCTAGGAAGCCATCAACAGACCTTTCACTACACTCAGCTCATAGAGGCTGGAATGATGCATATTCCCATGGTTACCCATGGAAGATACAATCAGGTAATGCCTGCTCCCTCATCATAAGCCAATGAAACTTTCGACTGTTTTATCTCTGTCTTCATTTAATAAGCCCAGAAAAGACTATCATGACCCAAATAGCGTGTTCTGGTTTCGGCCAGTCACTGAATTGTTGATTCACTTTGCTCTTTTCATTCCCAAGAATCGTTTTTAGGTTTAGTTTTTTCATTGTTAGTATTCTCCAGAGATACAGAATAAATACAAGGTTTGATCTATGTCCTCAAATGACTTTTATTTGAGAAAAACAGACACTACACCAGCAATAGAACTGGAATGCAATATGTGAGAATAAATAAGTAATACCATGTGGGAAGTAAAGCGTTTGCTCTGAGAGGTAAGCCCCGTGAGACACGTCCAGTTGTTGCATACTTTGTGGAAAAGCTTTAATTAGGGGTCGTAAATTAGAATTGGTTAAAAAAAAAAAAAAAAAAGACAGGGCCTGAGATACCCCACCTATGAAGTCCACTGAATGAAACCAGTTGAGTAGGAAGAAGCCTCGATCTGGCTTTGCCCAGGATAGTGCAAATGAACCTTGATCAAAATTCCATAATATCGCAGAGCTGAGATGCTTCACTCAGCTTGTGCTCTTCACCTTTTCATGGCTTCGCTGTGGCCCAAGCTTGCTGTTGGCAACAGGCAAATGTACTTATAAAGATTTCTTCAGAGATTTCATTTGATTCTGAGCTAATTTTCACAAAGGCCAGCAGGAACCAGGTGGTTGGTAATTGAAGGGCAAAATAAGTCTGGAAAACCTTCATAAATTAAAGCAGTGACTGCCCTTTTGATAGCATGCTTCAAAGAACATAGTTAAGTACCCTGGGTTGCAGAAACTTGGATGCTGATTCTGTAAGCTCATATGGAAACCTCTATTGTTTCATTTGTGAGTTGCTGTTTTTGAATCAGTCACATAAACTTTTGAAAAGTTATCTAGTTTCTTATAGTACTCTGAATTTAAATATTTGCCATCACAAATACATACATTTATTGAACTCATATTCTAGTAAAATATTTAACTTGTTGCCTGTAAATATTTAAAAAATCAAAGACATTGCTTCAAGACACAATAGGGTCTCTAGGATTAATTTGTGACAATCTAATTTTCTTTATATTCTTCAATCGAGTGGGAAAATATACGTGGATTCCTAGAGACATTTTAAACGTGCATCATAATCTTTATTCTTGTTTACATGTATTATATTTACCTTCTGACTTTAGTTTCATAGTCACAGAGGCTTCAGAATTCTAGATTAGACAAAATTCCTATATTTTTTCCTTAATGATAAAGTTTCCTTTCTTATATGTACACATTTTATCCCTTTGGAATTTAGGATGTATGGTTTGAAGTCCTCAAACATCTCCTGAGTACATTTTTATTTCTTCAATGAATTGAAACGCAAACTTTCAGATAGTGAGTTCTTAAACATGTTTATATCTCTTTATGAACTTTCTTTTTGTTCATTGATTCACATATTCCTATAGAAGCACAAAGCTGCCATAAGTTTACTAGATTTCTGGTAAGATTTTATAATTTTACGTGAGTGTAATATAGGTTCTAAGTGACTGCCTTTTATGTTGAAAATTATCTCAGCTAATTTTAAAGTTTCATTCCCTGAAAATTCTAAAATAACTTGTTAATCAAATTGCTGGTTATTGAGGAAAACTGGATACCACTCCAATTATCCAGATTATGTATTGTCTCAATTAAATTTTATAAATTTTTGACATAGATCTGTATCTTTTAGACTTTTAGTTATGTGTATTTGTTTTCTGTTAGAATATCATCTTCATTTTGTCTTTTGAAGCTATTTAGTGTCATTGCATTGTAAAACTATTGATTTTATTATTGAATTGGATCTGGCAAATTTGTTATAAACCTTTTAATCTAATGATGAGGAATATGTATTTTTATACAGATGGCCCATATTTAAATTCGGTCTGTCACTTACTACTACGGTAATTTGAGACATTTTAAACCCATCTACCATTTTCTTCCCTGTCAATTGAGGTGTGAGTCTTTCCCCAATTGGGCTATTATGAGGATTAACTGATTTAACACCTATTAAAATGCATTACACGAACATTTTCTTTATAGTAAAGCAGCAACAGTTGTAATTGTGGTCATAAAGAAACTGGAATTAGTCACAATTTTAAAACATAAGAAATATACTTCTTAGGCTTCACGGATGCATTAACTCCTAGGGATGTTGCAACAAAGTACTGCAAACTGAGTGGCAAACAGAAATTTATTGTCCTCATTCTGGAGGGTAGAAGCCTGAGATCAAGGTGTCAGCAGGGCCACACTCCCTCTGAGATCTGCATTGGAAGCTGTCTTTTGCCCCTTCCTGGCTGGATATAGCATGTTTAAACTTTTAATAGGTTTTAGTAACTCAAAACAGCCAAAAAATTAATTGGTAGTAGCAACTTAGAATTCTCTACATGTATTACTAAACAATATATCTGTTCTTTTTCATACTATTATTAATGGCATATAAGGATGCATACTTCAATAAGATAGCATCAGTAACCCACAGTTAATTCATTGATTGAAAGTGAATTTAAGAAATCTCTTAACAATGATAAATATACAACTGTTTAATAAAAATCAACCTTACAATTCTTGGATAAGATATTTTTGGCTATCAATTTGCATGTCAAAAAACGGTAGAAGCTTTTGACATCATGGCCAAAATTCATTACAACCTTAAATTAAATTGATGAAATACCCAGAATATTATCTAATTCTTAGTGCCTCATTTAATGAGGACACATGGAGAAGAGCTGAAGCTCAAAGAAAATTGACCAAGAAAGTAAATTCAGTAAGTAGGCTAAAAGAAACAGTACATTTTTAGTACAGTACTTTGAATTCTGAGGTCCATGTATTTCTTTTGGGTGCCATTCCTGGTATCTAGACCCAGAGAAGGCAGCCATCAGGGTTGTGGGAGTGCTAATGCACTGAATCTGAAGTCCGACTGTTTTCAGGGACAACGAGGTTAGCCCTTGAAAGCACAATTGTCCTTATAATCAATATACCTCCTTCAATTCATTGTATCTTTCCTGATGATTTTCTCTCAACCTAACACTGGTTAGAATAGTTGAACTGATTGCCATGGCTTCAAATTAGGTGATGCATGTTAATTCCTAAAGACTTTTTTACAATCTTTATTTTTTAATTAGTAAACAATTAGCAAAATGATTATACCCACCTAACTCTGATGGCTGACATTGTTTCAGCTCCCCAACAGATGGTGCTGTTGAAACTAAGTGTACAATTTGCTATACCTCTGTCATTGTTTCTGAAAAAGGTTTCTAGAGTAGAGTTTTCCATAACTTCTAAAGATTTCTTGTTTAAAAATGGGTATTGATAGTTTTTGCTCTTTAATTAAAAACAGTTTCTCTCCAACCCCTAATTTTAATGAAAGTGCAAAATTCTTAATTCAGAATGGAGTGTAGTTTTAGTGATCTTGACGCACTGGCCAGCTTTCAAACTAATTAAAATCCTCATGAATATTAAATATTGAAAATTCAGTGGTTTCCAAAAATTCAACATTGTACACTAAACTCTGATAAAGTTAATATTGTTGTAACCTCAGACATCTATTTGGATTATACATTAGTAGACAGATCGGGTAGTTTTTGCAACCTCAGAATTAAGGAACTGTAATTTAGTCAGGGAAATTTGAAATCTGATTAAAAGTGTGTTTTCTATTTTCCTCTCCATATATATAGTTTATAGCTTACTCATTTTTCAGTTTACCTTTTTTCCGCCAAATTCCTCACTACAATGTCACCTGGGTTCTCATCCAACTGTATCTTAATACATCTTCTATTCTTTCATTCATTATCTTTTCAATATGCATTTGTTGTGCCCTTATCTTATTGCAAAGTTGTGCCAGATCTTGAATATATCCAAGAGAGTAAGACAAAGGACAAAATAGAGCCTCAGTCTTCAAAGATTTTACAATCCAGTGGAGGTGATAAACACACTAAAAACACAGAGCAAAATTTCACAAATATTGTATACTCTCAAATTCCTAACACTGTAACTAGAAGATATTAATACATTACTCATCCAATAAATAAATGTTGAGTGAATGGATAATCCTACTTATTTCCCTATGGTCCGACTGTGTGTGCCCACCCAAATCTCATGTTAAATTGTAATATGAATTGTAATCCCCATGTGTTGGGGGAGGGACCTCATGGGAGGGGATTATATCATGGTGGGGGTCCCCCCATGCTGTTCTCATGATACTGGATGAGTTCTCATGGGATCTGATGGTTTTATAAAGGGCTTTCCCCCTTTGCTGGGCACTCATTCTCTCTCCTGCTGCCCTGTGAAGAGGTGCCTTCTACCATGTTTGTAAGTTCCCTGAGGCTTCTCCAGCCATGCAGAACTATGAGTCAATTAAACCTTTTTTCGTTATGAATTACTTAGTCTCGGGCAGTTCTTTATAGCAGCATGAGAATGGACTAACACACCCTAGAAAATTTTGCTGTTTAAATGTATAAAATGTGTCAAATGAAAAACACATCGTAGGCATTTTGATAATAGAGATGAAAGTATTATAGGCTGTTATGAGAAAGTTGAGCTAAAATATTGTAAAAATGGCTACAGAATGTCACTGTTACTATGTGAACCTGTATAGGACTTTTATCAGGCTTAAAACGGTTTCCTAACAGCAATTTATTCAGATGAGAGTTTGGATTTTCTGTTTCTTCTTTGGTATGCATGAATGTGCTCATTTATTGTTTTGTTCAGAGACCACACTGTGTTCCAAGTGTTCTTTGTATTAATAAACACTAAACTGATGATTCTATTATTTTTGTAACTTGATTAGACAACACTTAATATTAACTATTCTTGACTCACATTAATACATAGAATTTGCAAATTAGTCAACTATGATTTGCAAATTGAAGTTAATTAGAAAGTCCTAATTCAGCACCTCCTAAAAAGGCCAAAACACTTTGCATAGAAATAGCCAATTTAGAAGTCACAATTTTCCAATTGCCTTTTGGCAAACAATTATTTGTTTGAGATGTCCTCAGGATTGGGGTGAAGAGGCAAATATTCACAACATTAGTGAGGACTTAGAAACTGAGTGTAAGTCCTTTTCCTAAGCGTTTGGGACTGAGCTACCATTCTATTAAGAAGCTCATATTTGTCCAGTGGAAAAATTTAATAATTTTAGAAACTACAATAGCTCATCACTGAAAGGAAAGATGATTTAGAAAAGAGTTTAAGAAATAATAAGACCATAATAATCTGTTGAGATCTCACTGTTATTGGTAGTCTTTATTCTTCCTTTTCATGGAATTTGAGTACTAAAAAAAAGCAAAAGTAATTTATGGCAATAATAATGCTTATAAGTGACTCAAATTTATTTAAAATATAGGCTACATGATTATAAAAGATGACTAAAATAACTAAGTGAAATTAATTAGAAATGAGAAAATACTATAATACAATTTACCACATTAATTTTTTTAAAATGATACCACTTTCTTGGTACGTGCTAAAAAGAATGATACAGTTTGCCCATTGATTCTCAGAAATTAAGAGAGTTCCCCTGAAATTAAAAATAAATTTCTCAGAAATTAACTCTGAGAAATTCTCAAAAATTAAAAATAAAAGCCTGTTTAATATTTTGTAGGCTGGGTGTGGTGGCTCACACCTGTAATTCCAGCACTTGGGAGGCCAGGGTGGGTGGATGATGAGGTCAGGAGTTTGAGACCAGCCTGGGCAACATGGTAAAACCCCATCTCTATTAAAGATAGAAAAAATTAGCCAAGTGTGGTATCAGGCGCCTGTAATCCCAGCTACTCGGGAGGTTGAGGCAGGATAATTAATCGCTTGAACCTGGGAGGTGGAGGTTGCAGTGAGCCAAGATCGTGCCATTGCACTCTAGCCAGGGCAAGAGGGTGAGACTCCATGTCAAAAGAAAAAAAAAAAAAATTATGTAGACCACCGGACTATCCAACAGCAAAGAGCATATGTGATGTAGAAGTTTTATACTCAGTATTGTCATGAAATTTTCAATAACAAGTCACAGATATGTCTAAGAGTAAAGACAAGAAGAGAATATTCAATGTAGAACAGTAAGTTCTAGGCAGAGCAATAAGGCACACAAATGTTTTTAAAAGCAAAAAGAATATAGGTATATATTTCATAATTTGCACAGCATATAATTATCTGGTTTGGAAATTTCATATAATTAGCAGAATATTAAGAGATAAGCTATTACAAACCTAAGAATAATTTGGCAAAATTTAAAGATATGTGATTAATTTACAAAACGACCTATCACTAACATCCTAAACAATGCATTAGAAAGTAAATAACCAAAAGCCACAAAAATAGCTAGAAGTTGACTTCACGGAGCATCCACTAGAAATTTATGGGGAAAATTAAAATTCTGTTAAAAAGATGATAAGGGCAGTTTTATTCACAATAATTTTTCAATGAAATTGCCATGAAAATTTCTGCAGTGTGTTTTTCTCGGTGAGTTGAAAAATGACCTTCATATCCATATGATCCTACAATTTATATTTTTCTACAATCTGCTTCTTAAAATACGTAAGAATATTTGAAAAATAGGGTCAAGGGAGCTAAAATTCCTCTACCAAATATTGATACATAAAATGCTGTGAGAAAAACAAAGTGTATAGTAAATTACAGAAACAGACAAGTTAATGGAATGAAATGGAAGTTCTAAGAAAGAGACTGGATGTAGGAGGACTTGTTCTCTGAAATGGATGGCAGCCCAAACCGTTGAAGAAATGACAAGTGCCATGGTAGGTGCTACTGGGAAACTAGCTCATTAAAGCACATTTTAATCTTGAATCTCTACATCATATCTGCTCAGAATAAATCTCAACAAACTGGTGACTAAAACATTAAAACTGAAACTAAGAGGACAAAATTTAAAAAATATGTCTTTATAACCGTTTGGTAAAGGCAAATTTCTTAGCCTTAAAAAATCTTAAAACATAGGTGAATACATCATTGGAGTTAAATACAGCAAAATTAAGCATTTTTGTTCAACAATAGGCTTTGTGTACAAAGGTAAGATGGAGGTAATTGATTGGGAGAAGAGATTTGCAATAACGGATGTCAACAATAAATTAATATCTGGAATCTATAAGGAGCACTGTTAATCAAAAGTTGCCAGAAAACTCCATAGAAAGTTGTGATGTCTAGGATGTCATTGGAGAGATATTCAACTGCAATAAAAAAGAGCTAAAAGAAAAATGAGACACCCACAAGATTAAAAAAAAATGTGCCAGAAAATAACTAGTAGTGGTGTGGATTTTGAGGAAGAGAAGTTTCCTGTATTGCTAACTGTTATCGAATTAAGATGAGAGGATTAGAATGAGCAGTGGTCCAATATGACTGGTGTCTATAAAAAGCAGAAATCTGGAAATATATAACGCATAGAGGGAAGATGATGTGAAGACACAGGGAGAAGCTGGGCATGTGACCGGACGGACGCATCTACAAGCCAAGAAATGCCAAGGGTTGCTGGCTAACACCAGAGGCTATCATGAGCCACAGGAAGATTCCCTCCCAAAGTCAGAGGGACCCTGGCCTGGCCAACACCTTCATCTTGTATGTCTAGCATTCAGGACTATGGGGCAACAAGCTTCTGTTATTTAAACCACTCAGTTTTTCATATTTTGTTACGGCAGCCCGAGGAAAATGATATGTGTTTTTATTTAAACACACATGAATATTTCAGAGAGTAGTCTACTGCGTGTCATTATGTATGTACCTTAACAATGCAGAAATTCCACCTATGAGGACCACACCAGAACATCTCTCTTTTTAAAAAGAAATTTAAGTTCTGGGGTATGTGGGCAGGATGTACAGGTTTGTAACATAGGTAAAAGCGTGCCATGGTGGTTGGCTGCACCTATCAACCCATCGCCTAGATATGAATCCCAGCATGCAGTAGCTATTTATCCTAATGTTCTCCCTTCTCCCACCCCCCAACAAGCCCCGGTGTGTGTTGTTCCCCTCCCTGTGTCCATGTGTTATCATTGTTCAGCTCCCACTTATAAGTGAGAACATGCAGTGTTTGGTTTTCTGTTCCTGTGGATAATGGCTTCCAGCTTCTTCCATGTCCCTGCAAAGGACATCTTATTCCTTTTATGACTGCATAGTATTCCAACAGAAATTTTGTGTAGTTTTGTTAAACAACCTAGACATAATTTCCTTCAGAATGAGGAAGTTGATAAGTAGGACAATGCAGTCAGTCACCATTTTAAATCAGTCAAGACAATGAGTGACGTTCTCCCCTAAAGCCTCAGATTATAGTCAATGAAGCCTGATTTAACTAGGCCACCTCCTAACACAGGAAGTATTCGTTTCTCTGAATCAACATTTACAGATTATATAGCAATATTTCTGGAATGCACCCAAAATCTTATTCTGGAAGAGAAAAAAAATCTCAATCTAGCTGACATTCTGTCACAGGTTTTCCCAGGCTAAGGTCATCTCAAAAGGATCTCTAGAATCCTTACATATTAAATATGCAAACTCCTTTGCAGATTTTAGTTTAATCTGCATTTACCATATAAGCAAACAGAGAGGTCTCTTGTTAATGCGAACCAGCTTGCTGGAGAAGAGAAAACTGTGCTGCTTTCTCTGTTAATAAAGCTTCTGATTTTGCTGTGGTATCATTTTTCACCTAAACTAGTAAGAATCTTAATCTGATGGATAGTAGCCTTGAAGGTTTGGTAAGTTTAAGTATTTTTATTAAGCTTTTACCAAATATATCTAAGACTCTTACCCTATACATTAAGTAACCATCGAATCACTCAAACCAGAGCACTGTTGAGAGTAGAAGTAGATGGTTAACTGAATCCAACACGAAAACAATAGAGAAAAAACTAGAACTTTGTCCCACTAGGGCACATTTGCCTTCCAGTTTTAACTTAACATTGGCTATACGGATAAAATCATCAATTCATAATGCTAAAGGCCAGGTAGGAGGGCAAGAAAAAAAAGAGGGGTTTTAATCTTCAAAAAGGTTTTTCATCTTCTATTTTCTGTAAGTAATTAAACTTTTAGCTCGTGATAGAAATCAGACATTAAGAAGGATTTAGAGGCTTACAGTAAGCATTCTGAAGACATCTCTTTCATAGCTGTGTCAGTGTGAGCACAGCCTGCACGGAATAAATGTTTTGATTATGGAAGGAAAAGTTGAACGTGCTGTGTTGCTGCTGGGCAGAACTGAGTCCTATCCTTGTTCACCAATATATTTCAAAAATTTTCTACTAAAACCGAACCCTTCCACTAGGTATCCACTTACACACTGAATATCAAATTAATGCAGTTTTAAAGGTTTTTTTATGACAAAGATTTTAATTAATGTTCAAAATTACTCTGAAATGTGCCTAACTCTAAACTTTTCAAGGGCCTTGTGGCTAACAACAATTTTTTTTAATGTTTCTACTGCCCTTACCAGTCTCTACATTTTGTGAACCATGATTCCATCCACAAAAGGAAGGAGGAGAAACTCATCTCCCACATCCAAATTCATCCTCCTGATTAGTTTGTAAATACATGATGGTTGCTATTTGACGCAAAATGGTACCAGAAGTTCTGTAAATTTGATTTTATTCATTGGATTTTGTACTTTATTACTATGGAGAGTTGGGAAAATGTTGATAACGGATTATCATTATTAACCAATTAGTTTTGAGCATCAGTGGTAGGTATGAGGTGGTCACATACTTGAGATCAGAGAGACCTTTGTGCTGATTGAACCTCTGTGGAGGTTTTGTTGGTATCTGTGCTGCGTGCATGCATAGGTTTTCTTGGTTAGTAAATTGTCTTTAAGTTACCATGCCTTCCTTCTCTCCTGGAATTGAGAGCTATGAGGTCTTGTGTTTAGCAAAACTGTGGGGCCCTGCAGAAAATTAGAATAGATATCCTCAGCAGTTTGAGTGGGTAACTCACTCTCACACACGCAACATAGAGGTGATTGGATACTCTGCTCTGAGTCTTCAGTATGAAAAATGAGTCCTCCTCTAAATGTTTGGAGAGAAAGCGGTGAGTTTCTTTTTCTGTGTCTGTGTGAGTCAGATATTTGTGTGCCTGCATCATTTCTGGCAGTTCTTGTGACAGTTGTATGCTATCATTTTGGCATAAATTATTCTAAAATCTTTTGGCCACTCATACTTTGAAACAGCCAGTGTACCTACCGCTAGGACCCAGATGCCCTAAGCAGGTGCAGGATATGGGGAGATGGCTCAATAAGCCTGTAAAGGAAGTAGACTGGGCAGACAGCAAAATCTCTTTCATTTAGGAGCCACTTAGTGCAGTAGCATTAACCAGTGCCAGATACAGTCTCCATACTTGGCTTTAAGTGTCTTCATATTATAATGCAAGAGAGCAATATCCACAATGAGAACAAAGTGTCCATTTTTTAATAAATTGGATGACAGATAAGGGGCTAGTACTATTAGATTTAAAGAGATTTCCATCCGAGTGGCAAATAATTTGACCTTTAAATTGTGAATCTTCAATTATGTAAGAGACGTATTCACCCACAAAATCTAGCCTCAATCCATCTTCTCTGGAGGAATCTTATGTAATTCAAATATTAGGTATCAAAATATAATTTTAATATGTCAAAGAAGATCTTTAAAGTAATTCTAGTGGGTCCTTTGAATGATGTAAAAATAGTCTTCTTTAATTTTTTTATATAAGATTTTAATCATTTAAAATATAATTTTATATGAATAAATATAAACAAGATACAGTTAAGCAAAACTATGGAAATGAAATCAATATTAATTTTCACAACTAATAATGATAACTTAATACCTATGAGGTATATCATTTCAGACTTACATAAGAATGCACCCATATTCATATTTTTAAGGAAATTTCTGTACTGAAGGGACTTTACAGGAATTACTGTACTTAACTTTTTTGGTAACCAGACTTTCTTACTCATCATTTGCATCATTATATTGTTAACTTGTGTAGAGGATTTTTTAAAAAATTGTTCTATCCTTAAACTTTAAGAAAAAGGATTGTTATACAAGTTACACACATCTTTGCACGTAAGTGTCAGTTACATTTGAAGTTTTAATGGAGCTTCAGGAAGTTTTAGGACATTGATACTTGAAAGCAATTCTTCCCGGTCAACTGTGGTTGTGGAATTATTCCTACTTGAGGCTCATGGAGTGTGGTTGGTGGCTGAAGACCCAAACCTCACATTGAAAATCATGATCACACTTGTTTCTGATGTTAGTTGCTTATTGTAATTCTTGCTTCAGTGCTAGAAGATCTTTGTGGCTGGATACTTCCTTTACTGTTTGAAATTGAAGGATGGTCCACCTTTGGGTGGTACCCACATGGCGTTCTTAGCCACTCTTGAGTCGTTAACTGAGAAGCTCTGTTCCTGTGCAGTCACTGTAGCTTTGTCAAATCATAGTCCAAGCGGTGTCTTCACTTGGATTGCCTTTTGCACTTGCAGTTAATTTCTGAAAATCTTACATAACTCTTTGATATTGATATTATCAATATTGATACATATCGCAAAATGTAACATGATATATCACAGTAGGTTGGTGTAGCTCTTGCTTAATTCATGTTGACAGATTTGATGGACTACACATTAAAATTATTGCTACTTAAAAATATATCATAACTTTTAAAATTATTTCGAATATGTTGCCGAACCAAAAGTATATAAAACTCAAAGTTAATCATTCCAGAGACTGATAAGAAGATAGCTTATTATCTAAAACTTCATGAAAGATGTCCTTTTAAAATGCAGTAAAAGATTAATTCTCATTTTTATTTCTGTTTTGACTTAACATTTACAGCTAGTCACTTAGCCTTTAAAAGACGTTTACGTCAGGAAATTGTATTACTGTTCAAATTTAATGATGTGTTTTTGATAATTGGTATATTTAAAACTTATACATTTTCAAGGAAAATTAACTAGGTTTGATTGCACATATTTTAAAAATTCTAGTGGAATGCAATAGGTACACTGTACAAAATCTATTTTAAAATCCTACTAAGTAATAAAATGTTGGACAAACAGATGCAATTACATTATGAGAAAAACTAAATGTCAAAATTCTTCTAACAAATTGTAGCTTTTTAAGTCAAATATTATTTGAAATAAATGGAACATTTATAAAAAATATTTTCCCTTGGTTTAGGAGTTTTTATGGCTGAAGCTTTGTGAGAATGAGATTTGAAGTGTGCAGACGTTACATTTAATGAGCTCCATGAGACATCCAAATTATTGGTTCTCATAGAAGCTTATTGAAATCAATGCATTCCTCAAAATTTACATGTCTATATTTACAGAATCTACAGATTGAATATGACAGAATCATTTTCTTTCTATAATGAATGCATTTGTAAGTAAATCGACCCGAGAAGATAGGTGCTATTGCCATCCTTCTGAAACTATTGAAAATGTTTGTGAACATGTTAAGCACTAAGGTACATTCATTTTGTTTATTGCTAGGTTGTGGTGTGTCTGTGTGCATGCATGTGTTGGACATATATACATGCTAAGCAAAATTAGCATAAGGGCTAAAATAAAAATCAGCTCATCCTCTTTCTGTTAAAATTGGTGTACCGGGCCATGTGGTGGCTCATGCTTGTGATCCCTGTGCTTTGGGAGACTGAGGCAAGAAGATGGCTTAAGGCCAAGAGTTCCAAACCAGCCTGGGTAACATAGCAAGACCCCCATCTCTACCAATTTTTTTTAATTAGCCATATGTGGTGGTGCACACCTATAGTTCTAGCTACTTTGGAGGCCGAGGCAGGAGAATTGCTTGAGTCCAGGAGCTCAAGATTGAAGTGAGCTGTATTCACAGCACTGCATTCCACACAGCAAGACCCTATCACACAAAAAAGTGATGTATGGAATGGATAACACTTTCATTATTCTATTCTCAAGAATATTTGAATAGACAGAAAACAGAAAAATAAGTACAAATATAAGCACAAGTATTCTTTATTTCCTTCATTAATTTAGCCAATATATATGTTAGGGTTGCTTACATGTCATATATTAGACAGTGTAGATAAAATAATACGTAAAATTATTTGACCTTTATAAACATATGACTAGTAGGGGAGGTTATCGAGGATGTCCATGAAATTAATCATGGTAGGTGCTAAGATAACAGTCTGTGAAGAGTGGTGTGGGACAAAGGTGGGAGCCAGCATTCCTACGGAGCTGACTTCCCAGGGCATCAGGTGTTCATCAGGTGAACACTCCACACAAATACATTTCAGTCAAGAAATAGCAAGAGCAAGGCATCCTGGGCAGCAGACACATGTAGGCCAGAGAGCTGTATAAACTTCCTGGTGGTTTGAAATGATGATTCAGATGTATACATTCGGTATTTCAGTCAGTCAGTTAAGGTCATACAACCAAAAAAGTGTTCATTTTTGTGCTTTGGTGACAATGAGTCTGGGAGCATCAGTTGCTGGAGTTCGTTTGGATGCATGAGCTCCCGGGTTTGTGGCTCTTGGAGCTCTCCTGGACTTTATCCCATGAGCAGAAGATAGCTGCTGAGCATTTATCTCTCTACGGACTTTGCCTTATCCAAAGTATTCTTGAAGATAAATTCAATCCACATCAGAGGATGAAGGCTGTTAAAAATTCTCAGCATCTTAATTTAATTGACGAGTAATTATGTATGTGGGTTATCACAGCATGGGTGTTATGGAAGCCATTATAAGGAAAACCTAACAGAAAGCGTAGAGAGAGAGAATGATTTACTTGCTTCCCTCAATACGATTCTCAAATGTGGAAGAAGGATTTGAAAAAGTCAATGTTTACCTTTTACCAGTTAGTCTTGATTTTCACAGGAAAAAATATATTTGGGGTTATTTCTTTAAATGAACTTTTTAATTTTAGAACAGGTTTAGGTTTCCAGAAAAGTTACAGATAATACAGAGAGTTCCCAGGTACTCCCCACCTAGTTTTTCTTAACAGTTACATTTTACATTGGTGTGGTACATTTGTTCCAATGAGTAGTCCAATAATAATACATTGATTTCAACTAAAGTCCATACTTAATTGAGATACCCTTAGTCCTTGCTTAACTCATACCTTCTGTTCTGGGATTTCACCCAAAGCATCACACTGCAGTTAGTTGCCTTATCTCCTTAGGGTCCTCTTGCCTTTGGGATTTTCTCAGGCTTTCACTATTTTGATGACCTCAACTATTTGACAATCGCGGATATGGTATATTGTAGAAATCCATCAAATTAAGATATGTTTGGTGTTTTCCTCCTCATAGACTGTGGTTATGGTCATTTGGGAGGAAAATCACAGAGTTAAATTGCCACTTTTGTCTCTTTAAATCAAAGGTACATATTATGTATGTTACTTATCAATGTTGACATTGACCTTGGCCACCTAGCCACGGCACTGTCAGTTACTTCTACTATAAAGTTTCTCTTCCCCTGTTTCTATACCATTCCTTTTTGAAGAAAATTACCATGTGCAGCCCAAACATTCATTAGTGGAGAGGTGTGCTCCATCTCATTGAGGGAAGAGGAGCTACAAAAGTTATTTGGAATCTTACTTCATTTGGAGTTTTTCTATTTTCAACTATTAATTACTTGGGTCATTTATTTATACCTGTATGGACTCTTGGATATGTTTTACACTTTAAGTTATAATCCTACCATTTTATATATTTCGTTGTTAAATTCTGCCCCCCTGACTACTAGAAGTCTTTGCCATCGATCTTGTGTCGCTTTGACTTACCACTGGCACTATGTGTGTGTTTGCTGAGCAATTTCTTCCTTTCTGGCACTGCAAGACACTCTAGATTCATCTTGTGAATTCCCTTCAGTCCTAGAACCAGCCAGTTATCCAAGGAACCCTGGGTCTAGTGGAGTCCGATATTTGAAAGCAAGACCTGGTCATTAAGTGCACTCATTTTTAATAGAGTATCATTGATCATAGGCCCCTCAGCTTCTAGAAAAGGAATGACATATACCTACAACCTTTTTATAAAAACTTATTTATAAATATTTCCATATATAATCATGTGTATCTATACAGGTAAGTTTGTACTGATGACTTGGTACTGATGAGTTTGTACTGATGATCTCTTGAACTCTGATACATCATCACATGGATCATTTTAGCCTCTCCTTTATCTGTAAACTTTCATGCTGAAAGTGAGAAAGCAGATTGCTATTTTCCATATGCATTTAATTAGTAATTCAATACCAGTATATAGTATAGAAATATTGGAATTGTTAACTGTAGCCATGTAGGAAATCACTTCGCCAACCATAATAAGGGTGCTTATGTACAGTTCTTTTTGCTGTTGGTCTTACCAGTCTCTACTCACTTTCAAAGTTAATGTAGGTGGGCACCTTTTTCCTCACTGCCTTTGTCACGTCGTTTCATACATTTGTAATAGAGACATATTCTCTTGTTACATTCTGACTTCCTTTCTAGGATCCTCTTACCTTCTAATATTTTTAAAATTTGCATATGTTAAGATCAACTGTGTGCTGTAAGGACATAAGGGTTTTAATAAATGCATAATGCCCTCTATCCATCATTGCACTTATCATGCAGAAGAATTTCACTGCCTTAAAGAATCCCCATATGTGAACCCATTGGTATCCCTCCTCACCTCTTCCAGTCCCATGAAAACTCTACCTTTTCCAGAATGTCAGATAATGGGAATCACATAATAATTCAGCCTTTTCAGTTTGACTTACTTTAATTGGTAATGTAATTGAAGATGCTATATATGTGTTTTCACAGCTTGATAGCTCACTTTTTATTACTGAATATTGCCTTTTATAAATGTACAAGAGTTTGTCCATAGACCAATTGAAGGGTATATTGGTTGTTTCTCGTTCTTAATGATTCTGATTAAAACTGCTAGAAACATCTGCATGCATGCAAGTTTTGTGTGTGCATAGGTTTTCAAATCTATTGAATAAGTCCCTAGGAGCTTGATTGCTGGGTTGAATGACAAGGTTATGTTTAGCTTTTTGAAAAATCGCCAGACTGCCTTCCACTTTGGTTGTACCATATTGCATTCCCACTAGAAATGAATGAGAGTTACTATTGCTCTAAATCCTGGCTATTAAGGGGTGTTGTCAATATTTTTTTATTTTAGACATTCTAATAGATGTGCAGAAATGTGTCATTATCTTAAATTTGCAATTCCCTGATAAAAGGTGATATTGACTATTGTCTCATGATTATCTGCCAGCTATGTATCATCTCTAATGAGATGTCTGTTCAGATCTTTTGCCCATTTTTTAAATCTTATTTTCTTATTAAATTTTAAGCATTGTATATTTTAGATACAAGTCCAGTATTATATATTCATTTTGTAAATCTTTTCTCCCAGTCTATGGCTTGATTTTCATTTTTGAGACACTGTAATTTGCAGATCAGAGGTTTAAATTTTAATTAACTGCAAATTATTAATTTTTTTCTTACATATATCATGCTTCCAAACCCAAGGCTATCTAGATTTTCTCCTATGTTTTTTTATACATACTCTATAGTTGTTTGCTTTACATTCAGGCCCATGATCCACTTTGAGTTAATTTGTGTAAAAGCTTTATAATCTTTGTCTATTTTTTGGCATATGGAAGTACAGTTGTTCCAGTATCTTTTGTTGAAAAGTATCCTTTGCCTTTTGTTCTTTGTCAAAGAGAAGTAAACCTGATTCTATTCCTGTGGGTTTCTTTATGAACTATTTTGTTACACTTATATACATATAATCTTTCTCCAAGATTGGTGAAAGACATTGTGGAGAATTGGTGTCATATTTCTTCCTTAAATGGGTGGTAGATTTCACCAGTTAAATCATACAGGTATGATTCTATTTTGGAGAATGTAAATAATTATTGTTTCAATTTCTGCAATAGATAAAGGCTGATTTCAGATCTGTTTCTTCTTGAGTTTTGGTAGTTTGTGTGTTTCAAGGAATTGGTATTTCACCTATATGATCGTGTTTGAGGGTATAGAATTGTTCACAATATTCCCTTATTACCCTTTTATTATCCATGAGATTAGTAGTGATGTCCCTCTTTCATTTCTAATATTACTTATTTGTGTCTGTCTCCTTTTTCCTGGTTATCTTGAATACAGATTTACCAATTTTATTGATCTTTGTAAAAAAAAACAGCTTTTTTTATTTTTCTTTTTTTTTTTTTTGTTTTCAGTTTCTTTGATTTTTCTCCCAATATTTACTATTTATTTTCTTATAATTGCTTCAACTTAAATTTATCTTCTTTCTCTAGTTTTCTAAGATGTAATATTGATTGTAGATTTTTTCTTTTTCTAATTCACACATTCAGTGCTATAAATTTCTAAGTGGTGTTTGTGCTGGATCCTATAAATTTTGATAAGCTGTATTTTCATTTCATTTATTTAAAAATATTTTTAAGCCATAATTTAAGCTGTACCGGTTACTTTCTAGGCTGAGATAGGAGGATTGCTGGAGCCCTGGAGTTTAAGTCCAGCCTGGACTTGAGACTTCTTGAATTCACATGTTAGTTAGAAATGTGTTGTTTAATCTCCAAATATTTTGGATTTTCCATCTATCTATCTGTTGATTGCTAGTCTGATTCTATTGTGTTCTAAGAAAACAGTTTGCATGATTTTTGTCAATTTAAATTTTTTAGAATGTGTTTTATGACTCAGAACATAGAATATATTAGTGAATGCTCCCTGAGAGCTTGAGAACAATATGAATTCTGGTTTTGGATGGAGTATTCTCTAAATGTCAATTAGATCAAGTCTATGAATAGTCCTGCTCAAGTCAATTTTATGCTTATTGAGTTTTTGGGCTGTTTGATCTATCAATTAATGAAGGCATGGTGTTGAAGCCTCCAACTATAACAGTGGATTTGTCTGTTTTTTTCTTTCAGTTCTTTCAGTTTCACCTCATGTATTTTGATGCTTTTATTTTAGGTACATATTTAGGGTTGTTATGTCTTCTTATAGAATTGACCCCTTTATCACTATGTTATGCCTCTCTCCATCCCTGATAATTTAACTTGTTCCAAACTCCTCTTGAAGATACTTCAGCTACTCCAGTTGTAAATTAGTAAGTGTTTGCATGGTCTTTCTCTATCATTTTATTTCTAATCTATCTTTGTTTTTATATTTAAAATGGATATCTTTAGGCAGAACATAGCAGGGTTTTGTGTTTTCATCGACTTTGAACGTCTTTGTTCATTGGTTAATTTAGGACATTTCTATTGAAAGTGACCATTGATATAGTTGTATTGATATCTACCGTGATTGTAACTATTTTTTATTAATTACATTTATTTTTTGTTGTTTTCCTTAGTCCTCTCTTTATCTGATTTCTTTGGTTTTAACTGAACCTTATATCATTCTATTTTATATTGTTGTATTATATATACTTATATATTTCTTTCTCAGCAATAGCCTTAAAGTTTGCAATATACTTATTTTTACTAATCTATATCCATTTTCAAATGACACCGTACCTCTTGGTAGGTAGTACAGGTGCCGTCCAGAGTAGTCCCAATTTTTTTTGCTGTACCTTGTGGTGGTGGTGTCATTCATTTCACTTACTCATCTGCTATAATCACCCAATGCATTGCTACTATTACTACTTTAAACAAATGGTTATCTTTTGATGAAGTAATAATTTTTTAACAGATTATAATTACCTTCATATTCTTTCTGCAGTAATCTTTTATGAAGACATGAATTTCTGGAGGATATCATTTTTTTGTCCCTTAAAAATTTGTTAAAATTTTCTCACAGGGCATGTCTGCTGGGGATCAATTCTCTGTTTTTGTTTGAAAAACTATTTTTTTCTTTACTTTTGAATGTAACTATCACTAAATAAAGACTTCTAAGTTGATGGGTTTTGTTTTTGTTTTTCCTTTCAATACATAAAATATTTCATTGCTCTCTTTTGTTTAAAAATTTCTAACACAAAACCCAACCTACTGATGAGGCCATTAAAGACACTTTTTTCTTAATTATGTTGGTTATTTCAATGATTTTTGTTTGTTTCTAAGAGGCTGTATTTCTCTTACATTTCTCATCTTCTCTTGCACATTTCTTTTTCATTAGAGCCTTTAACATGTTAATCACTGTTATTTTAAATTTCCTGCTGGATAATAGAAAAATCTGTCATCTCTACATATGGTTCTGAAATTTGCTTTATCTCTTCAGACTGTTTTTTTTCCCTTGTTTTTTAGGATGCTTTGCAATTTTCTTCCTGCAAAATGAATATAATGTACCAGACAGTAGAAACTGGTAAACATATAAGTCAGGCGAGGTTTTGCTTATTCGACTAATAGTTTGGCTGTTCAATATTTGCTCTAGCTATAAATGCCAGTGGCTTCAGCTTCCTCCAGTGTCATTTCTAGTTCCCATGCTGTCTTTGGGCTTTGCTTAGAACTCTTCCTCAGAGTCTTCTGAAAGAAATATCATCTTGTGGCTCCTTCAGCCATAAGCCAGATATTATCCTTCAGCCCTGCTGGTAAGCCATGACCAGCGTGGGAAGTGTGGGGAACAGGAGCATTCTATGATCCTGTGATTAAATCTCAGGCTGGAGGTGGGCCAGTGTCTCTGGGCTGTGATGTTCAAACATGTTACTTAGTTTCTTTTAGGAAAGCTACAGGGGAATGAAGGGGGAAGAAATGCCCTTTCCCCATTTGGGGTAAGTCTCTGGTGAAGTCTTCTCCCCTGATTGGTGGTCCTTTACCATAGAGAATGTGCTAAGTGTACGTCACAAAAGTTATTCTTGCATTTGTTCTGCCAGAGCCAAGAGAGACTCCATCTTGGATCTTCATCACGAGAACTTGATGAGCTTCCCAGAAGTAAGGACCACAAATGTTTGCCCCCCATCCCAAGACTGCTGTCCCCAGGAGATTCCCTCTCTCATGCAACTCCAGTGGTTCATCGCATTTACTATTAAGTGTTCCGACCACTGTATGGACCCCCAGGGTTTCTCCTCCAGGTCACACGTCTCAGCCGTGGCTCTCTGGAGCTACCCTTCTCTCCAGATTTCAGGGTAGTGGTTTTTTCTGCAAACTGCCTTTTCTAATGGGTCCAAGAGTGTATCTCCAAGTTGGTCTTGCTGTAAAGATAGGAATGATTACTTCTAAGCCTTTTGCGTCCTTACTTAGATTTATTTTTAAGGAAATCTCAAGAATATTATATTCTGTACCATGATAACCACCCTAAAATTTAGAAAGACTGTAAATACAGAGAGTCACAGCTCAGCTGCTTCATGATCCAGATACCTTTATTGTTCATGATTGTGTCTTATTGTCCTGTTACTGATAAAAGAAGAAATATCAGACCAAAATTGTTGAATTAATTGTTTGTCTTTTTTGATTCTCCCTCATGTATTTTGTGGATCCATTGCTAGGTTAGCATGCACTTATTTTTATGTCTGTCTAATATACTGACCCAAGACTCTGTGTTAGTCTGTTCTCATGTTACTAATAAAAACATACACAAGACTGGGTAATTTAAAGAAAAAGAGGTTTAATGGCCTCACAGTTCCATATGGCCTGGGATGCCTCACAATCATGGCAGAAGGCAAAAGTCACGTCTTACATTGCAGTAGGCAAGAGAGAGCGTGATAAGGCAAACTCCCCTTTAGGAAACCATCAGATCACGTGAAACTTATTCACTATTATGAGAAAAACATGAGAAAATCCAACCCCCTTGATTCAATTACCTTTCATCCGGTCCCCCCACCCATGACATATGGAAATTATTACAATTCAAGGTGAGATGTGGGTGGGGACACAGAGGCAACCATATCACTCTCTAATATACTAAGTCTGGTGGCTTCACCATTTTATGCTCCCCTGCCTGTTCTCTGAAGTCAGATAAATTCCAGAGGGTTGCTTTTCAGTGTATGGCCCTGGTCCAGGAACATTCACATAACTTGGGAATAGAGCGACCAAGTTCAGCAAATAAACACAAGACAACAGGATAATTTTAAATTTCAGATATACATGGAAGAAGGTTGTATAGTTTTCATTGAGTATCTGAAATTCAAATTCACCAGGGTGTCCTGTGTTTTTTCTGTCAGCTCCACCTGGGTACATTTCAGAGATGCAGACTCTGAGGCCCCACCTCAGACCTATTGAATTAGACTCTGCATTTTAATGAGAACGTCTAGTGATTTGTATGCATATTAAGGTTCAAGAAGTCCTCTTCCAGTGGTCCAGTTTATGTTAGGGCAGGATGTTCAAGTGAAGCCTTACAGTGCATGTCTGCAGGAAATGGAAGCTCTTGAAGAGAAGCTGACCATGGTCACTGGTCACTACTCATTTCTGCAACCCTCCAATTACACCAGCTACTCTGGGTTTCCAAATATCATGTTTCATCAAAAGAATTTCCAAGCTAATTGTAGCACTTGGCATCAATCAGTGTTATAAAATAACAATAATTCAAAAATGTAGTCATTAGTATACTGTTTGTTTGATAAAGTGTTCTTTTTATGCACACACACACAAATGTTTAGCCAAAGCCACTAGGGAATTCCTTAAACATCAAGAAATTATAAACATATCTTGGGTTGTTGCTCCATCACCATCACCCTAAACTTACGTGCTGTCAGGCTTTCATTTCCCTAATGATCACATTGTTTAATTGCCTTTTATCATATCAGCTATCTCACCTAACATATCTTCACTAAAAGTTTACCTGTAAATTTATTAAGCTCTATTTTGTGGAGTAATGGGGAAAATCCAATTATAATTCATGTTGTGACTCCATATAGAGTCATTTCTCGGTCTCTGTGGAGGATTGGTTCCAGGATCTCCCACAGATACAAGGCTCCACAAATGCCCAAGTCCCTGACATTAAATGGTGTAACATTTGTATATAACCTATGCACATTTTCCAGTATAATTTAAATTATCTCTAGATTACTTATAATACATAATATAAGAGCTATGTAAGCAGTTGCTATGCCGTATCACTTAGGGAATAATGAAAAGAAAAATGTCTGTACATGTTCGGTGCAGACTTAGTCATTCTTGTTTTTCCCAAATATGTTTTGTCCATTCTTGTTTGAATCTACAGAGGCAGAACCCGTGGATGTGAAGGGCTGACTGTAGGGGTACAGGGGTGTGTGTGTGTGTGTGTGTGTGTGTGTGTGTGTGTGTGTATGTATAACCTGAAACATAATTTTAAATATCAGAATCCTTAAGAAAAGGTTTTATTTTTGTTTTTGTTTTTAATCCTGGGGATGCTTGTGTTTTTATAACTCTGTGGTGATTTTTCCTATGAGCATCAGCTCAAAATTCTATAGAGAGGTAGCTGTGGGGATGGCTCCCAGCCTTACCACTACTGCCCAGGGTGACCTTTAGCTCCTCACTTGCACTCTCCAAGCCTCTGTGTTTGCATCTTTAAAATGGGAACACCATCTCACTTAATTTTCCAATGTTATCACTTGATTCAGAGGTGGAACCTTGTACATTCAAGCATTACTCTACTTGGTTTTCAGAGCTATGATGATGACCTCTATTTAAAGTACACTGTTATTGATCTTAGCCATTTCTGTCTCCATGTGGATGTTTATGAAGATTTGCATTCTTCTGAGAAGAGGAGTACATATTATTTGAATGTTTTCATTAAAAATAGAATTTTACTTTAATATAGAGTCAAGGGCAAGAGTTGGTACTTATTGAGGAATCAAAAATGAAAGCAACCAAGATGGCAGGACAATGGTAGATGTATGGAAAAGACAGATTTAGAAAAGAAATCGTGCAAGGCCCAAGCTAAGCCCTGAGGTTCAACTCTTTCATCTAATGTAGGAAACGGAGCTGACATAAAATAGTTACACCTATTTCTAATATCAAGGAAGAATGTATATGCATTATATTTAGCAACATCGATATATTTAAGCATTACTTGACTCTAATTCACTCCAGGTTTATTCAGATGTTTCTGAAATTGTCTTGGAAGTTATGTAGTCATTACATGAATGGTTAAACAATTTCAGGCAGGTTTTCTTTATCTTACATAATTTTCTCAAACATTCTGAAAAGCTTTGTAATATTTAAGCTATTATGCTATTTATTTTTAGAATTATATCATTTTAACGTATTTTAAGGAAAACCACTGGAATAATCTAGCTCTAGTGGGTATTCATTTTCTTTTCATTTTTTAACAGGCTGGTGAACACAGGAACTGTCAGGCAACTGGTGAATATTTCTCAGATGATACTGTATTTTTTAATAAATTACTTTTTAATAGTTTCTAAAATTATTAAAAGAGGTTTTAAGTTCACAGAAATATTAAATGGAAAGTATAGAGAGTTACCATACATATCCCCTTCCTCTTCACATGGCTTCCCCAATTATTATGAACTTGCGTCAGTGTGTTATGTTTTTTGCAACTGATGAACCGATATTGATATGTTACTATGAATTGACATAGTTTACATTAGCATACATTTTGTTGTACAGTTCTATGAGTTTTGAAAAATGCGTAATGTCATGTATCCACTCTTACAGTATAAATAACACACAGTAGTTTTAATGAAGAATAATAATTGTGCAGAAACTAGAATTTTGTTTTGCAGTTGATTCATCAGTGGCAAAAACTGTGCCACACTGATGCAAGTTGTTACAATGGGTAAGCCCTTTTGTACCCCAGCCATGGACCCCTTCTTTGCTTCCTTACTCCCTGCTAACTCCTAGCAACCACTGATCTTTATACTGTTTCTATCAATTTGCCTTTTCTAGAATGCCACAAAGTTGGAATCGTATAGTATATGACCTTTTCAAGCTGGCTTCTTTACTTAGAAATATCCATTGAAAATTTCTCTCTGTCTTTGTGGCTTGATAACTCATTTTTTTATTATTATTATTATACTTGCAGTTTAGGGTACATGTGCACAATGTGCAGGTTAGTTACATATGTATATACGTGCCATGCTGGTGTGCTGCACGCATTAACTTGTCATTTAGCATTAGGTATATCTCCTAATGCTATCCCTCCCCCCACCCCACAACAGTCCCCAGAGTGTGATGTTCCCCTTCCTGTGTCCATGTGTTCTCATGGGTCATCTCCCACCTATGAGTGAGAACATGCGGTGTTTAGTTTTTTGTCCTTGCGTTAGTTTACTGAGAATGATGATTTCCAATTTCATCCATGTCCCTACAAAGGACATGAACTCATCTTTTTTTATGGCTGCATAGTATTCCATGGTTTATATGTGCCACATTTTCTTCATCCAGTCTATCATTGTTGGACATTTGTGTTGGTTCCAAGTCTTTGCTATTGTGAATACTGCCGCAATAAACATACGTGTGCATGTGTCTTTATAGCCGCATGATTTATAGTCCTTTGGGTATATACCCAGTAATGGGATGGCTGGGTCAAATGGTATTTCTAGTTCTAGATCCCTGAGGAATCGCCACACTGACTTCCACAATGGTTGAACTCGTTTACAGTCCCACCAACAGTGTAAAAGTGTTCCTATTTCTCCACATCCTCTCCAGCACCTGTTGTTTCCTGACTTTTTAACGATTGCCATTCTAACAGGTATGAGATGGTATCTCACTGTGATTTTGATTTGCATTTCTCTGATGGCCACTGATGGTGACCAATTTTTCATGTGTTTTTTGGCCGCATAAATGTCTTCTTTTGAGAAGTGTCTGTTCATGTCCTTCGCCCACTTGTTGATGGGGTTGTTTGTTTTTTTCTTGTAAATTTGTTTGAGTTCATTGTAGATTCTGGATATTAGCCCTTTGTCAGATGAGTAGGTTGCAAAAATTTTCTCCCATTTTGTAGGTTGCCTGTTCACTCTGATGGTAGTTTCTTTTGCTGTGCAGAAGCTCTTGAGTTTAATTAGATCCCATTTGTCAATTGTGGCTTTTGTTGCCATTGCTTTTGGTGTTTTAGACATGAAGTCCTTGCCCATGCCTATGTCCTGAATGGTAATGCCTAGGTTTTCTTCTAGGGTTTTTATGATTTTAGGTCTAACGTTTAAGTCTTTAATCCATCTTGAATTAATTTTTGTATAAGGTGTAAGGAAGGGATCCAGCTTCAGCTTTCTACATATGGCTAGGCAGTTTTCCCAGCACCATTTATTAAATAGGGAATCCTTTCCCCATTGCTTGTTTTTCTTAGGTTTGTCCAAGATCAGATAGTTATAGATATGCGGCGTTATTTCTGAGGGCTCTGTTCTGTTCCATTGATCTATATCTCTGTTTTGGTACCCGTACCATGCTGTTTTGGTTACTGTAGCCTTGTAGTATAGTTTGAAGTCAGGTAGTGTGATGCCTCCAGCTTTGTTCTTTTGGCTTAGGATTGACTTGGTGATGTGGGCTCTTTTTTGGTTCCATATGAACTTTCAAGTAGTTTTTTCCAATTCTGTGAAGAAAGCCATTGGTAGCTTGATGGGGATGGTATTGAATCTATAAATTACCTTGGGCAGTATGGCCATTTTCACAATATTGATTCTTCCTACCCATGAGCATGGAATGTTCTTCCATTTGTTTGTGTCCTCTTTTATTTCCTTGAGCAGTGGTTTGTAGTTCTCCTTGAAGAGGTCCTTCACCTCCCTTGTAAGTTGGATTCCTAGGTATTTTATTCTCTTTGAAGCAATTGTGAATGGGAGTTCACTCATGATTTGGCTGTCCGTTTGTCTGTTATTGTTGTATAAGAATGCTTGTGATTTTTGTACAGTGATTGTGTATCCTGAGACTTTGCTGAATTTGCTCCTCAGCTTAAGGAGATTTTGGGCTGAGATAATGGGGTTTTCTAGGTATACAATCATGTCATCTGCAGACAGGGACAATTTGACTTCCTCTTTTCCTAATTGAATACCCTTTATTTCCTTCTTCTCAGTGAATAATATTCCATTGTATGCATGTGCCACAATTTGTTTATTCATCCACTGGAAGTAATGATATGCAGATAACAAATAAGCATATGAAAGATGCTCAATCACATATATCAATATTGAGTTTCAGATTAAAACACACATGTGACATAAAGACATAGGTACTAGAATGTCTATAATCTAGAATATCTCAAATGACAACATAAATTTTAGCAAGAATATGGATCCACAGGCACACTCAATCATTTGCAAAATGGTACTCCACTCTGGGAGAGCATTTGGCTGTTTCTTACAAAACTAAACATCCTCTTTCCATACGTTAATACTTAGTCAAATGAGTTGAAAACATGTCCACATAAAAACCTCCACATAGAAGTTTATGGAAGCTTTCTTCCCCAAATTTGGAATCATCCAAAATGTTTTTCTGTTTCATGTGTGAGTTTTGGTAGATTGTGTCTTTGAAAACTTGGCTTATCTCATTCAAGTTATTCAGTTTGGGAGCATAGAGTCACCCATAATATTTAATGTCCATTGGATCAGCGGTAACAACCCTCTTTCACGTATGGATGCTGCATTCTGAAGGTTTTCCGATTCCTGCTTTGGCCAGATTTAAGTCTTCTCCAGAAACTCACCTTCACATCAATTTTAACCTGTTTTTTGTTCATATAGCCTCTGATGTACTTTATATGTTACTATGTTATATGTGGTTACACATATTTTTATTATAATGGGAATGGGGCTTATTAACTCATGAGTAAAAAAAGCTCCTAGAAGAAAACTAACTTATCTATCATGAAGTTATCAAGGAGTCAAGTCTTTATAAGCTTATGCATTAGAAATAGTTTGAACTAGTTCCCGATTATTTGGGTGTAATTCTTTCCTTATGCTACACACCATCATAAAAATCTTTATTTTTGTGTATTACTTTGATACTGGAACCATGCTGTAACCTTGAAACCAATACTCACTACCAGCCACCTGGGTTGGTTGGCTGAAAACACCAGAAGAGATAAGAGACACAAAATGGAGAAACTACATATACCAAGATAGGATAATTTACTTTTGCTGGAAACCAGGCCTATATCTGGCTGCTACATATAGAAGGAAAAATCAGAACTTCCCCTATGGTGCACTGGGCACTGGTGTGGTGAGTTGATATTAGCGAGCCTTTGTTATGAGGTCCCCTGGTGCTGCTGCGGATGGGTTTATAAACAGAGTTGGGTGTACTGATTGAGGCAGCAATGTGCACTTGGGAGAAAGTGGACTACATTGATTTCTTCCACCCTTTCAATAGCAGTGATTTATTACGACTGAGGTAGCAGCAAGCTCTGGATATTAGGTTGCGGTTCCTGACTGTAGGGCCTCAGTCACCAGGATCACGCAAGGGCTCACAGTGTTGCATCCACCAACATGGGTCATATATCACACCAAGTCAGATTAATGGATCAAAGTTCAAGTGAAGTGGGTGCTTCTGTGGGACCGGAACCACGGAATCCACCAGTCTCCTCCATCATGCACCAGCCAGAGGAAGAAACTTAAGAAAGAAATGGGATTGCACACCTATTCATATAAATAATTAAACATGATTTTAAGTAAATAGGGCACCAACGAGCTATGAAGGCTAACCAGATGAAAAGGTGGAGGAGGTCAGACCTACAGAAGAGGAGGGAAGCAGTGACTAATAAGGGAAGAACTTAAGGACACCGGCCCATCAAAGTGAAGGAGCCAGCAATTCTGGGAGAATGGTCACCTGTTCTGAGTGTTGCTCAGAAGTGAAATGCAGTGAGCTTTAGGAATACAAAACTGACCCGAGAATGTGATTATTCATCTGCAATGGTGTTCTTCACGGCACTGAACATAAAAGCAAAATAATGTATGTTTCCAACAGTTTGGTATTGATTCTGTAAGCTATACTCCACCTGCATGACACTGATTTTTAAAAATGATATTATAACCACATATTTAATAATAGGAAGAGAAGGTCCCGGTAAAATTTCAGGTGAACAAAATGAAATTACCTAATGGAATGTAATCGAGATTGTGATGGATTTTTATTTCTGTCATTTTGCTTTTCTCTTTTAAAGTGTCCACAGGGATCATGTCCAACTTATGCAACAGAAAAAAATGCAATAAAAATTCTTATTACAAAAAAGTGACTTCTGGCCCTAGCTACATAGTGAACCTCCTGACTCTGGGGAAAGCCGCCCCGTGGTGTGATCCTGTTCACAGGCTGGCAGCAGTGGGCCAGGAAAGAAGAGATGATGAAAAGGAAGGCAGTGAGTACCCAGTGCTACTTTGGGAGTCTGTCCATGGAAGACAGGAAGCAGGAGGCCACGGGCCAGAGACAGATGTAAAGTTAAGGAAGGATTTGATTGTTTAAATGGAAGAGTCATGAATGATTTATAAAACAACAGAAAGTCTGCAGATGAGAGACAAAGATGGAATATACCAATGAACATAAATAGGGCTGAACGATACCATATTATTCAGGGTTCTACAGAGAAACAGAACCAAATAGAATCTTTTGATCTACTGATACATCTATCTATTTGTGTATCTACCTGTCTATCTGGACAGTCATTTATTGAGGGAATTGGCTCATGCAAGTATGGAGGCTGATAAGGTCTGCAATCTGCACTCTGCAAGCTGGAGGCCCAGGAAAGCCAGTGGTGGAAGTCTCAGTGCAAGTCTGAGGCCTGACCAGGAGCACAGATGTCCCAAAGCAGGAGAGGGCAGATGTTCCAGCTCAAGAAGAGGGAATGCATTTGCCCTTTCTCTACCTTTGTTTTTGGAGACAGAGTCTCACTTTGTCACCCAGGCTGGAGTGCAGTGGTTGAATCTCCGCTCACTGCAACCTCTGACTCCCAGGTTCAAGCAATTCTCCTGCCTCAGTTTCCTGAGTAGCTGGGACCACAGGTGTGCACCACTATGTCCGGCTAATTTTTGTATTTTTAGTAGAGTCTCGGTTTCACCATGTTGGCCAGGCTGGTCTTGAACTCCTGACCTCATGTGATCTGCCCCCTTGGCCTCCCAAAGTGCTGCGATTACAGGCATAAGCCTCCATGCCTGGCCCTTTCTCTACCTTTTGGTTCTACTCAGGCCCTCAAGGGACTGCATGATCCTCACTCACACTGGTGAGGATGGATCTTCTTTTCTCAAATTCTGTGGATTCAAATGCTAATCTCTTCTGGACACATTCAGAAATTATGTTTTACTACCTATCTGGGCATCTCTTAGACTAGTCAGGCTTGACATACAGGTAATCCTATCACATAAATTATTCCTAATGAAAATAAGGGTAGTTGGATTTCAAAGCACAGCTGCAAATTAGTCTTACGGGAAGAATTAGCCCCTCTATTGCAAAAGGAGATGAGACAGGTAGATGGAGGAAGAATACACGTTATTAGGAAGGTGGGTTGTTCTTTCTGATGGATTCTATCCTTTAAATAAAAGGCTGGGTTCATCTTCGGAGGGTGAGTGGAGGTCACGTGGTCAGGGGTATGGGGAGAGAAGTGATCTTTTGGAGTAGGACTTTTGAGGCATAGGAGAGTGTGTTGACCTCAGGAATAGAGCAGGATTGCACTGTGCTGGTGCTGAAAGGCCTTGGGCTAGTGATTAAGGCTTTATAATGAAAATCTACCTTATGGATTAGTCATTATGTCAATGATGGGCTGCTAGGATTCAGGGTCCCAATAATGAGATAATTGGGTTCTGTTTTTACCTTTTAAAATCATCAGTAGGTTTCCCAGGGGGAGTTGCTATTTAAATGGGATCAGTAAGTGGGAAGTTGCTGTTCAATGGATAGAAATGTTTGATTACATAGAATGATTTAGTTCTAGAAATATACTATATGACACTGTGCCTATGGTTGATAACGCTGTATTGTGGACTTAAAAACATTTAAGAGAGTAGATTTCACATAATATGTTCTTGCCATAATTTAAAAAAATTAAATGACATAAAGCTTACTGACTGTTTGGATAAGTGCCAGGCACCTCAATAAGACATGAAATAATATAGTAAAGATTTTTATCCCTGAGCTAGTGTTCAAATGCAAATACACACGCACACACACAAACACACATATACCATTACCATATTTATATATTAATAAAATAATGTATGCTTATGTTTTATAAAGCATTGATTTCAGTGTTTTCAAAATTACCATCTGATTATGCTTAGTATCTATTACATTGTTTCAAATCCCTATTTCCCCAGTTATAACATTATTTGATTCTTATTTTTGTGTCTTTCACTTTGTCTCTGATTTCTCTTTTTAGAAGTTTATACACTGTTTCAAAGAATTTTAATTATTCATCAATGTAGCTGATAATTTTCTGATTTTCATATTTATTTGTTGCTACTTTGTTTTCTTCATTTTATTTTAGATGATTTTAACTTCTTGTAATGGATCCTTTTCAATGAATCCTTATTTTATTTTTTGACTTTTTAAATTTGACAATTGAAACTAAGTGTATAACGTTATCTTGGAGTTATTCTTGATAAGTCTAGATACTCCCTATCAATAAACATGTTAATTTGTATTGCTCATTTTTTAATTGACCTAATATTTGTTCATAGGAGTGTTATTAGACAAGGTGATATGCACTTAGATTCTGATTAGGATCCATTATACTGATAGCAGAAGCAAATCCATATGTGTCTGTAGCAACCTCAATTCTTACTTCCTTAAAAGAAAGAATTTGACCAAGAAGCATAAGGCAGAGTGAGAGATAGGCAAGTTTTAGAGCAGGAGTGGAAGTTCATTAAAAAGCTCTAGAGCAGGAATGAAAGTAAAGTACATTTGGAAGAGGGGCAAATGGGTGACTTGAGGGATTCAAGTGCATGGTTTGGCCTTTAACTTGGAGGTTTTATATGTTGGCGTGGTTCTAGGGGGGTTGCATTCCTTCTCCTCTGATTCTTCCCTTGAGGCTGTCTATATGTGCAGTGGTCTGCCAGGACCTGGGAGGGGCTGAGTGTGTAGTGTTTACTGAAGTTTTGCACAGGCTCCCATGAGGCTTTGTTCCCTTACCAGTCCAGTGTTCCTAGAGGAAGATCATCTGCCAGTTAAACTCTGCCATTTTGCCTTAGTTCTGCATGCTTGAGCCCACTCACCTAACTCCTGAAATCTTATCGGGAAGCTGCAGATCATCAGTTTCAGGTGTTGTCTATCTGGTGGGAGACAGATTTTTCCCTACTGCCAGATGTGATCAATTATTATTTAAGCGAGACAGTTTAGTAACCACCTGACCATCTGATGGTTCTCTGACATTCCTGGTGGTTGTGGGGGCTCTCCGACCCTGCTTATATCTGACTAGCTACCTACTGTAACAGTACCAAGAAGAGACAAGCCTGCACTAGAACAACATAGCTCTCAAGGCCTCAGTAATGGTCATTTCCACTGAGGTTGTTGGGTACGTCTTTGGGTGCCTTTGGAAGCCTCGTGGATAGACAGAGCCAGAAGCTGGATGACCTGGAGGTGCAGAGTGATTTTATAGCTCCATTTTCAATTTTTATATTTTGTGTATTTTTATATTTCCATTATATTTTCTAGTGGAAATTGCCCAATGTATTATGTGTCAGGAAAATCTACAATGAATTAATGCTCTTAGAAGTCTGTAATGCCGGTGTTTAATTTAAATGTTAAATCAGACATTTATTTAACGTTATTATTTTTTCCAGTGTGTTCGTGTAGGTGGATGTTTCCACTTTCTAGTTCTAAATTAAGATTTACTTAAAACCCATTCAGATCCATCGGTTGTACGGGACCTACTCCTCCCCAGTCCCACTCTTTCAACAATTTTGTAATCAAGCTGTTTTGTTCTCTATTATTACCTTGAATTTGACACAGTATGAGACCAGAATGAAAAGAAATCAATTAGCATCAGCGAATAACATTTATTTTGCATGTTTTTCTAGTGTAATTGCCTTTGCAGGCTATAGTTATAAAAGTTGGTTTTCTCTATATCTTATGCATCAAATGCTGACCTATAATGTAATTTTATAACCTTTTTCTATTAACAGATTTCAATGCTACCGTTCAATGCTTCTTTTTTATTTTTTCTAATCTATTATGCCATCTATTAGAATTGCATTCAGGGGGCCTGTAAGTGGTGAGAATACCAGCTTTTATACATAACATTCCATTTGTGGGTGTGTGAGTGAAATGTGGGCAGTTCAACTTTGAAAGAGAACTATTTCCCTTTTAAAAGTTTAGACTCCATTAAACAATATGGAAACAAAATGACCAATATTTTCTAAAATGATCATTGTTATTTTTAAAACATTCTGTTTATTTCTAAATTTCAAAACTAAAAAACATGAGTGGGGGTAATATGGACTGCAGGATGATAGTTCAACAACCTGTTTTTACGATAGACTATTTAATTGTGCAAGACATGCTAATTCCTTGCTTCATAACAAAAGAATCTCATGGTAATAAATTTAATATGCTATTGAAATAAAACCAGATGTTAAAAAGCAAAACAAAATAGTTTTTACATGTACTGATAAGGGTCTGATTAAAGCCAATGTAAATAAGGTATTTTACTGTTAACAAATAATAAGATGCATTTTATTCTGACATTCACTCTGTCAGACCACAGTTTCACCTCGTCACAGGCTGATTCTGTTACCTGTTTGCATTTCTGCTGATGTGGTAAATCCAAGCTACTGAGTACCCATTATGATTGGGAAAGGTGTTGATGACTTACAGAGTTCCCTGTACTACGTATAATGGAGTCCTTTACAAATTATACCTTGCCTGAACCGAATTAGATAGGTAAAATTCTCTAAAAAGACCTTCTACACAATAAGACCACATTGTTACATGTCACAGGAATGAAATGTTCTGTTTCAAATAAAAGTGCTGGCCACAGCAAGCAGGTGCCAGGATGTGCTGCCCACAGTGGCATCATCCCAGAGGGGCAATATACCTCTGCAGAATGAGGCATCCCAGAGAGGCAATATACCCTGCAGAATGTGTTCAGGACAACTTGGACACACTACACCTGTGAAAGCAAGGGAAGGAGGGCAGGCTCTGCAAGACGGAGAAAAATATTCCCAGGATGCACCACTAGGATTAAAATCCAATGCAACTCAAAGTATCCCCATGATTCAGTTCAAGTTTCCTGAAAGTAGGTGGTTTAGAATTTGTATTATCTCAAGGAAACCTTAAAAGAGCATCATATCTAAAAAGATAAAATGAATTATCAGGTTAATAAAGTGCTTAAAACAATGCTTCCGAAACACCCTGACTACGTGGCCTATGCCCAAAACACAGAGGCCATGAGTCCCTTTTCATGTTAAAGAGAGAGAGTTGCACTCCTCACTGTGAAAGGTGTGGACGAAGATGCAGGAGAGATGTGTCATCATAAGGATGTGGTGAAAATGCCTTGGAAAGTACTCTCTGCTGCTTTTCATCAGTACACGAGGCATGCGTCATCTTAGAATGTCCTAAATGCATAGTGTTATTTTTTTTAAGTCAATATTTCTGAGTGCTTATTTTGTGCTAGGAGTTGTAGTTAGTATTTTACAGGTAAAATCTCAATCCAGATAAGAATTTTGCAGAGTACGTACTATAATTCAGTTTTCACAGATGAGAAGAAATGAGTCCCAGAATAGTTAACAAGTAACTGGACAAATGTAAACAGCTTGTAAATGGAGGAGCTAGGAATGTACAAAAGTGGCGTGCATCATCAAGCCATGAGTTCACTATTAGATCCCGAAGGCGGGACCATCTCATGCCATCAGGAACCGGATATTGCCCTTTCGTATCTTAGAAGGCTTGCTAACAAGATGGTTCAGCTTTCATGAATTCTGCATCCGAGATTGCTGTATCATTGGGAAAAAGCAGACTTGGCATTTCTGTAAAGAGAAGGTTGATTTGAAGAGGATGATCAGTAATCCCTGGGAGCTCACACATTTTCCTGTATGGACAAATGCTGGATTGGCTTGTTTTATTTGGTGGCCTGGTAACCTATGGTAATAGGAATAGGTCAAAGCATTAAGTATTTACTAGGGCCGGAATAGTACAGCAGACTTACCTCAGAAGCAATATACTGCATGGTTGAAATACTTAATAAATATTTAAACGCTGGGTTCTACGAAACATATATGATATATTAATAAACATATGTAATGTTTAGTTTTAGAATCTAAATTTCTTACCACTTGCATACCACCACAGTTTTTTAATAAATTTCCTTCTCTGTTATCTGAGAAAATTAGGACCTGCAAGGGCAGGATCACAAGGGGCCAGTTTTTACTTCAGTACATTTCAGAGGTGAATGCACACACACCCACCCCACATACACATTTTCAGAAAAACAAATCTAACAAAACTAGATGTCTAATGAAAAAGATACTGTAAAAATTAGTTATATTCACCAAACAGTGAGTCTGATGCCTAAGAAGAAATGCATGTGTTAGAGTTTTTAGGTGCAGAAACCATGACCCACCCTAGCTAGATTAAGCAGAAGAGGAGTATATTAAAGGATATTAGAAATCTGCGGGAGGGTGAGAGAATCAGGCTTGGAGGCCACACAGACAGGAGCAAAAGCAATGGAGAGGTAGTGCGGTACCCCTGACCATGTGCCTCTGCTGCTCAACAGTAATGGCAGCATTCAACTTCAAGCTCTGAAATCTGTTGCTGGCAGCTCTGCCGCTATTGTTTTGAAAAGCTGCGATCCCTCACTAATTTGCTCGCTCACCAGAGGAGATCCTGTGTGGCATCTCCTGTCTCATGCTACTCTATTCCAAGTAAAAATCTCACGTGGGAGCAGTTACATTCGGCGCCACCTCACATCACTGTGTCTGAGCTCCAAATGAGTTTCTCACTTCCTCTTTGGCAAAGCAGGATGTATAAAGTGGGATATTTCCCAGAGAAATCCTACCGGAGTCCTGCCACTATAACACATCACTTTAGAAAGGCAATATATGCATGATGCCTTCCAAAAGGTGCTCCAAGGCCAGTCCTCATGGTCAGTCGGCCAACACCTTTAAGCAGCTATTTTTCAAAGATGTTTTGTCGCCCATGAAATTAGAGCCATTGGGAATAGGGAGGAATACTTCTCTTACTTTCCACAATTAGTGACACAGAATTGATATCTCTACCTTCAACACCCAAATTAATAGCTTCATAAAATAGCATATTATTTTTTTCTGTTTAAAATAGAAGTATCTAGGCTTCTGTAAATGGCTGTGAAATGAAATGGTTATGCAAAAATTCTGCACGGGTAAAATAATTTAAAAATGGTTTTTAAGGAGTTCCTGTTTAGAAACATGAGAAGTGACCCAAAGCAGAGGAAGTTGCATATAGATACAGATATATAGATATAGATACATGAATGAATGAATGAGGAGAAAGTCTCTGGAATATAAAAGGACCACGCTGGCTGAGAGAAGTGAAGGAGGACTGAGACACAAATGCTCAATGTAAGCACTGCTCCAGTAATCACTGAGAGCTGGAATATTATGCTTATAAACTGGAGACCTCACAGGCTTTGAAACCCCTATAGGAAATAGGAACAAAATCTTGAAAGATCTACAGTCCATAATATTGATACATTTTCTGCTTTTTAAATAAACTCTACTTCCAATTCATGCACACCTTGTGCAGCAGGCTTGAAGAGTTAGAGGACAGACTCTAAGGCTCTTGGAGACACAGAGGTGAACTTCCTCTGCCCACGTTCTTAATTAACTGCCAAATTATATAAGGCTGAAATTTTTCAGAGTGCCTTGCTATATTCATTTTCATATTGTTATGAAGAAATCCCCAAGACTGGTAATATATAAGGAAAAAGAGGCTTAATGGACTCACAAATCCACATGGCTAGGGAGGCCTCACAGTCATGGCAAGGTGAAGGAGGAGCAAAGGCATGTCTTACATGGCAGCAGGCAAGAAAACTTGTGCTGTGGAGCAGCCTGTATAAAACCATCAGATCTCAGGAGACTTGTTTATTATCACAAGAACAGCATGGGAAAAACCTGCCCCCATGATTCAGTTGATTCAATTACCTCCCACTGTGTCCCTCCCATGACACGTGGACACGTGGAGATTATGGGTGCTAAAATTCAAAATGAAATTTTGGTGGGGGCACAGCCAAAACATATCACTTGCTGAAAAAAATCAAAAAGAACTGTGGAACTGCACATAAAGAGGAAAACTACTAGCAGCTGTGTATGGTAGGGAAGAAAACATTGCAGTATCATTCCAGACAGGTAAACAACCCACTAGAATAACAATAACAAAAATGTCAGAAGAAAACATCAGATTATTATTGACAGAGTAATGTATTATTGACGATGTGCACTGCTTGATTTCAACCACAAGTTACTAGATATTCAGGATGGAAAATGTGGCCCACATTTAGGAAAAGAAATCCATCAATGGAAACTGAGAAGGTTGTCATGTAGGACTAAGCAAATGAAAACTTCAACAATTATATACATCCACATATATATATGTTTTATGAATTAAAAAAAGCTCTAAAATGGTAGTATTAATAAGCACAAGGTTCAACAGACAAATGGAGATGAAAACTATAATAACTGAAATAGAAATTCAATAGATGAGACCAGTAGTAATTAGAGATGAGAGGACATAATTACTGAAGTTGAAAGTACATTAATAGAAATTACTCAACACAAAAAGAAAAACAAGAGAACACATGTGTGGGTTTGTGTGTGCTGCAGTTGTTTCATATCTCAGAAGCTCATGGATGCATGGGATAATACTAAAAATCTCACATACATACTTGAAATTCCAGAAGGAGATAAGATTAAGTGGAAATTATCAAAAGAGAATCTTGAAGGAGTAATAGCTAAAAACTTTCTGAAGAGTATTGAAAATACTTATTTAAAACTCAAGAAATTCAAAATAATCTAACCAACAAATATACACAAAAATTATTCCGAGTTGTATCAAATTCACACACAAAATCTCCAAAGCATTCAGAGAAAAATCAAGTGTTGTGTACAAGGAAACAGTGGTAAGCATGGTGGTTGAGATTTCACCAGAAGTTAGAAAGTCAATGACACATTAAAGTGCTGATATGAAAAGACAAAAACACCTCTCAGAAAGTTTCTACCCAGTGAAATTATATCTCTAATTGAATCCCTTTTTATATGGAGGAAAACTCATACATTTTTTTCTTAAGCCCATCTGCAATATAGTAAGGACTAGAGAAAAATTTCTAAGCTGAAGAGAGATGCTTTCCGAAGGAAATAGAAAGAACATTGGAAATGTTAAAAAATTACTCATTAGATAACTCTCTCTTTCTTCTCTTTCTTTGTATATGTATATACATTTATGTAGAATCACACATAAATATGCTACATATTATATAGTATATATAATATATATACTTACAGTAAATATATACACACAGGTACCCGTGTATATATCCCATATATGTATATATAAAATACGTATACACATTATTTTACCTTAATTTCTTTGAAAATCGCATTAATGTTTAAAACAAAAAAGGATAACACTGTAATAATGGCATTATAAATAATACACATATGCTATATATGACAATAGTGTTAAGATGGGAGAAAATAAAAATATACCATTGCAAATTGTCTATAGTTTACCTGCTGTAATTCTATATCATTTCAAAGATATTGAGAGATATATAAATCTTGGTAACCTGTACAACCACAAAACAATGCAAATATATAATTTCAAAGATAAATAATTAAAGTGCAAATAAGGCAAGATGGGAGGAACATAAAAAAACAAGGTAAAAGGAATGTCTGACAGCAAAATGGAAAAGCCTACATAAAACTATATTGATCCTGATATTGAATAAAAAGTAGCTAAACACTGATCGAAAGTCAGGATTTTCAGACTAAATAAAAAAGCAGAGCCAGTCTTATGCAAAAGAGATAAACTTTACACACAAATAGATTGATAGTAAAACGAGAAGCAAATAAAGGCTATAGTTACCATATGACTATCTAACAATATAGGCATCAAGAAAAGGAGGGTTGTTAGAGGAAAAACAAGTAAAAGTCTCTAGTAATCAGCTAATACATCAAGAAGATCAGATAAGTAAAAATGTGCATGTGTGTAATAACATATATTTAAATTATTTATAAACCTGGGAAATTTAAAAGATCCAGGTAGTATGAATAAAATATATTTGGCGTGAATCTAAAAATTCAAGAAAGCTAATCTAGATAAATGATTCTGGTTTAACTGGAACAATTTGAAATGAATATAGAAACAAGATTCATCTACCCTTATACATATACCAAATATACGTATACCAAAATTAAGTCCAAGTCAATTATAGGGTGTATTAGTTGCCTGTGGTTACCGTAACAAATTACCACTAACTGAGTGGCTTAAAACAACATTAAGTTATTATCTGACATTTCAAGAGGCCAGGAGTCACAGATTTTGTCAGGAATTTTGCCTCCACCTGGAAGCCTTTTGGGAAACCATCTCATGTCTCTCATGGCTTCCAGTAGCCGCCAGCAATCCCAGAGCTCCTTCGCTTGTAGATGAACCACTCCAATTTCAGCCTCCAACGTCCCATTGACTTTTCCATATCTCCATGTACCCTTTTCTATCTCTTATGAGGATGCTCTGATCAGACTTAGGACAAACCCTAATCCAATAGGATCCCACATTGATCTTTACCTAAATTATATCTGCAAACACTATTTCCAAAGAAGATTACAATCTGAAGTTCCAGGTGTACGTGAAATTTGGAAAACACTAAATATCACATTTAAGCCTGTGAAACTTGTAGAAAAAAGGAGATAAGACAAAATCGTTTTTACTCTGGGGTGGGCAACTTTTTCCTAGACATAAAGTAACAGCCATAAAAGGAAAAAATTAAAAAATGAAATACTAATAATCGTGGTAATACAGTATTAAAAATGCACATGGCTGGGACAGTGGCTCATGCTTGTAAATCCAACAGTTTGGCAGACTGAGGTGGAAGGATCATTTGAGGCCAGGAGTTTTAGGCCAGCCCAGGCAAGACAGTGAGATCTCAACTCTACAAAAATGTTTAAAAATAAGCTAGGTGTGGTGGCATGTGCCTATAGTCCCAGGTAATTGGGAGGCTGATATGGGAGGATCGTTTGAGGCTGGGAGGCTGCAGTGAGCCATGATGGCACCAATGCACTCCAGCCTGGGTCACAAAGCTTCTCAAAAATTCATAATAAAAATGAAAATAATAAAAAGGAAAGCCACAAACTGGAAGGACATCTTAACAATATACATTTCTAAAATCTACTGGAATCCAGAGTTTGTTAAAAATTACTACAACTCAATAGAAGGGCAAACATCCAATTTTTAAAAGTGAGTAAAAAGTTTTGAACATTTTACAAAAAAAGGTATACGATTAGTTGTGGATATATAAAAGGTTCTTTAATTATCAGAAAAATGTAAGTTAAAATCACAACCAGATAACGTAATACTAGAATGGTTAAAATTAAAATGTCTGAAATATCAAATGATGCTTAGAGTTTGAAGAAACTGGACCTGTAATACTCTTTGAAGGAGAATGCGGAATGGTATAATCAATGTGTACTATCTGAGACTTTCTCAAAGTGTTAAACTTACATCTACTCTTTGGCCCAGCAACTCCATTCTTAGATACTCAGTAAAGATCAGTTGAATCATGGTTTTACCAAAAATTAGAAATAAATGTTCCTAGTGGTTTTATTCATAGTAGGAAAAAACTGGAAACAGGAAAAGACTGAAATAGGCATGAATAAGTAAATGGATAAACAATATGAGTTATTTCCCAATAGAATACTACTCAGCAATAAATGGAAAATATTACTTTATTGTGCAGAAACATGGATACATTTCACTTAGTGAAAGGCAGATCATACTACTTGTATACATTATTTTTATAACAAATTCTAGAAAATGAAATCTAATCTTACGGTGTCACTGAGCAAATCATTGGTTCCTGTTGCTAGAGCTGATGGCGGGAAGGGGCTGCAGTGAAGCACTAGGGAAGTTTGGAGGGAGATGGAAACAATCTGGATTTTGATTGTGTTCTTGGTTTCACAGCTATGTATTCTTTGAATTTTACACTTTAAGGAATTATACAGTATGCAATTATACCTCAAAAGTATAGTTAATTAAATGAGTGTTTTTATTTATGCCAGGGGATAATATGGTTTCAAATGAATATTTTTCTTGCCGTTAATTTCCAATACTTGCATGCAAAGGTAACTATTATAGAATAAAAGAATTAGTACTGGAGTTGAATCTCTTTTTCTTTCTTTCTCATTTTGTTTTGCTACTAAAATCAATACCAATGATTACAAGTTCAAATCATTTTTATCTTTCGTCATAGTAGTTTAATTTCAGAAATGTGTCCAGCAACAATTGCTGGCATATATACCTGAAGGAGCTTCCTACTGAGTATTCGGAAGCCTGAAAATAGGATTTTATTTTTTGAGCTTCGGAAGTTACATACTACATGGGGATCTGAAATTTGGCCTGTTGTTTGTCAGGTTATATATTTTAAGCAGAATCTAAAAATGTGCCTTGTTCATGTGGGCTTTTTTCTTTTTCTTTATGTACCTTTTTCTTTTGTTCTTTTTCTCTTCTTACACAAAGGAAAGGTATACGATTTTCTCTTCCTTTGTTATCTATCTGTTCCAAGTCTAACCTGGAGGTCAGTGGCTCAGTTTCTATAAGGCTCAAAATACAAAACACATTTATTTATTCTTTGTTTTTATCTAAAGAAGCAGTACTTTTATGGGATCTTTCCCACTCTATTGTATGGTGTATAATCTGCCGATAGTAAACTATTCCACACGTTTTGCTCATAGTGAAACTGGACCTCTCATGACATAACAATCAAGTTGCGTTGATGTTTGCCTTATTGCAAAAAAATGTACATCCTTTATTAGATGTATGTTTAAAATCTATCAGAGGTGAGACTTTGTGTCTTTTGTCTACCTATAGTGTCGGGGATATTTGTGTTTGAAATGGTGGAATAAACATGGTGATATTCCATTCCTAAGTAACGGGGTGACCCTTTCAAGGCTAAGGAACAGGAGCAGAGCAAATTCTGTCTCACACGCAGGCTTCTTGCAGGAGGTATGGCAGGAAGTCGTTGGCAAACTAAGACTTTTTTTAGAGGGGGTAAGAGAATAGATTCTAAGTGTCTTCACCACACACACATATGCACGCATGCACACACACACACACAAAGAAAAATTAACGAGAATATTAGCTGTGTAAGGTGAGGGATATGTTAATTTGCTTGTTTGGGGCATTCATCTCACAGGGTACAAGTATATCAAAACATCAAGTTGTATACTTTTAACATATACAGTTTAGTTGTCAATTACCGTTCAATAAAACTGAAGAAAAAAAGATGATGCTCGTGAGAGACAAAAAAACACAGGGAAGAAACCCCTGCCACCTTTTTAATGTCAGTCTAAAACCTGGTTGACCGTTCCTGCACCAACTAGTGGAGTCCTTTCTATCAAACGCTAACAACTTACAGATGAGGAAACTGGGACCCAGTGACTTTAAATACCCCAAGAAAGGATACGTTGGAAGGGCTCAGAGGAAATGCAAAATTTTCTCGCCTTTGTTTTGGTGGTGGCTCTTTATAATATACAACGCATGATTTCTTCTTTTAATTGTAGTGAAAAACACACAAAATTTACCATCTTAAGCATTTTTGTATGGACCATTAACGTTACATATAGTATTAACTATATTCACACTGTTGTGCAGAAGATCTCTAGAACTATTTCATTTTGCAAATCTGAAGCTCTATACCCACATCCCCCTCCCTTCAGCTCCTAGCAACTACCTTGCTACTTTCTGAGTTTGGGTACCTTAGAAACTGCTTTTGCAGTGACCATCTCTAGTCTTAATAATTTATACAAAAGCTTCTTTGCCACTGAACTTGGTATCATTAGAGATTAAGATGCTTCCCTCCCTCTCCCTCTCCCTCTCCCCTCTTTCCACGGTCTCCCTCTGATGCCGAGCCGAAGCTGGACTGTACTGCTGCCATCTCGGCTCACTGCAACCTCCCTGCCTGATTATCCTGCCTCAGCCTGCCGAGTGCCTGCAATTGCAGGCGCGCGCCGCCATGCCTGACTGGTTTTCGTATTTTTTGGGTGGAGACGGGGTTTCGCTGTGTTGGCCGGGCTGGTCTCCAGCTCCTAACCGCGAGTGATCCACCAGCCTCGGCCTCCCGAGGTGCCGGGATTGCAGACGGAGTCTCGTTCACTCAGTGCTCAATGGTGCCCAGGCTGGAGTGCAGTGGCGTGATCTCGGCTCGCTACAACCTCCACCTCCCAGCCGCCTGCCTTGGCCTCCCAAAGTGCCGAGATTGCAGCCTCTGCCCGGCCGCCACCCCGTCTGGGAAGTGAGGAGCATCTCTGCCTGGCCGCCCATCGTCTGGGATGTGAGGAGCCCCTCTACCTGGCTACCCAGTCTGGAAAGTGAGGAGCGTCTCTGCCCGGCCGCCATCCCATCTAGGAAGTGAGGAACGCCTCTTCCCAGCCGCCATCCCATCTAGGAAGTGAGGAGCATCTCTGCCCGGCTGCCCATCGCCTGAGATGTGGGGAGCGCCTCTGCCCTGTCGCCCTGTCCGGGATGTGAGGAGCGTCTCTGCCCGGCCGCCCCGTCTGAGAAGTGAGGAGACCCTCTGCCTGGCAACCGCCCTGTCTGAGAAGTGAGGAGCCCCTCCGCCCGGCAGCCACCCTGTCTGGGAAGTGAGGAGCGTCTCCGCCTGGCAGCCGCCCCGTCCGGGAGGGAGATGGGGGGGTCAGTCCCCCGCCTGGCCAGCCGCCCCGTCCGGGAGGGTGGTGGGGGGATCAGCCCCCCGCCCGGCCAGCCACTCGGGAGGTGAGGGGCGCCTCTGCCCGGCCGCCCCTACTGGGAAGTGAGGAGCCCCTCTGCCCGGCCACTCGCCCCGTCTGGGAGGTGTACCCAACAGCTCATTGAGAACGGGCCATGATGACAATGGCAGTTTTGTGGAATAGAAAGGGGGGAAAGGTGGGGAAAAGATTGAGAAATCGGATGGTTGCTGTGTCTGTGTAGAAAGTAGAAGACATGGGAGACTTTTCATTTTGTTCTATACTAAGAAAAATTCTTCTGCCTTGGGATCCTGTTGATCTGTGACCTTACCCCCAACCCTGTGCTCTGAAACATGTGCTGTGTCCACTCAGGGTTAAATGGATTAAGGGCGGTGCAAGATGTGCTTTGTTAAACAGACGCTTGAAGGCAGCATGCTCGTTAAGAGTCATCACCATTTCCTAATCTCAAGTACCCAGAGACACAAACACTGCGGAAGGCCGCAGGGTCCTCTGCCTAGGAAAACCAGAGACCTTTGTTCACTTGTTTATCTGCTGACCTTCCCTCCACTATTGTCCTGTGACCCTGCCAAATCCCCCTCTGCGAGAAACACCCAAGAATGATCAATAAAAAAAAAATAATAATAAAATAAAAAATAAAAAAAGAAAAAAAGAAAATTAACTTTGAAAAAAAAAAAGATGCTTCTCTATAAGCCTCTTTGCTCTTACTCTGATGATTTTCTTAAAATGGCAGTGAGTCAAAATTTACAAAGTTGAAAATGTCAGCCGATATCACAAGATTTAGTTTTTAGAATTGAATGAAGCACATATGTATAGTATAACCCTCTGTGCCGAGCACCGTGCTAAGTGCTGTGGAGGCCACAGTAATGACTAGCCCTTCTGGAAGTGGCTGGCCATGTGGTTGAGGAAATCATGATGTAAAGAATTCATTTCAGGTTGAGATTTTTGCACTCCAGTTACAGGGAAATGAATTGCAAGGAGGGAGAGGGAGACTGTTTTCAAGGAGGCCAAGGAAGGGAACATGGAAGAATTGCAACTGGCTAGAGCTGAAGATTTCTAAACTCAATGACAAGGACTATTTCAAAATATGAACCCTTCGAGTTTTGTCCTCAGAGAACCAAATTGCATTTTGTGAATTACGTGCCAACCCCTTTTCTACCCCTGATGTGGCGCCATTGATAAAAGTTTTCTGAATTGCCAGCTGTGATGCTCACACTATCCATTCACGTTTAATTGGCCAACATAAGTCAAATGGCGAAGCCTGACAATGGTGAAGGAACGCGTCAACTTCTCTCCTGGAGGGACAACAGAGACTTGTTAAAAATAGTTTTGGGTATAGGTAATAAGGTCTGTCCAGCTACTATTTGCTTCGTTAGACTTAAAAAAAATTAGCATTAGTTTAGACACTCAGTGTGTCTTTTGTACATTACAGTATCAACAAATTCAAACAAATAGTAGTTTCAAAAGATAAAGTATTTAATAGACAGTCCTTGAGTAGAGAATTGACAAAACATTCACCTGGTGAATCAAACCTAGTGAATACCATATACCAAATGTCCAGGTCAGTGTCTGGAAGAGGATGAAGGCTCCGAAAGCCTTTGATGAATAAAAGCAAATAGTGCATTCCATTTTTTTCTACATTACTTTAAATTATGTTAGCAGTGACTAGAATTAGAAAGCCCTCTTAGCACTCTCAAACCTGAAAAAAGTTTCAAAAACCAGACACAAGGAATTGATGGAGTTGATAGGGCAATATGAGAGAGTACTGCATTTTGCTGATTTTACTGGGGAGTGGATCTTTTCTGTCTTGTCTTGTCTCTTGTCTTGTCTTGTCTTGAGACGGAGAGTCTTACTGTCTCCCAGGGTGGAAGGCAATGGCGCAATGTCCCCTCACTGCAGGCTCCGCCTGCTGGGTTCACGCCATTCTCTTGCCTCAGCCTCCCGAGTACCTGGGACTACAGGAACCAGCCACCACGCCCCACTAATTTTTTGTATTTTTAGTGGAGACGGGGTTTCACCGTGTTATCCAGGATGGTCTCGATCTCCTGAGCTCGTGATCCGCCTGCCTGGGCCTTCCAAAGTGCTGGGATTACAGGCATGAGCCACAGCGCCTGGCTGGATCTTTTCTTTTTTAACTTAATGTCATCTCAGCAAGTAGTTCAAAGCTGGTTGGACTATTTTCCAGCCTCACAGAGATAGATGAAAGATGTGCATCGCAGCAGATCCATTCATAGATGATTAAAAGCTGGATGACTGTAGACCTCTAGAATAAATAAATAAATATGCTCTTTTATCAACTCCAAAGACATTATTTTTCAGACACATACCGTACATCAACGTTCTTTGAAAATAAATCATGTGTTTCTAGCCATTGGAAAATAATTAGCCATGTACTAGTTAAGTGGCATAAAAAGCTGAAAATAGAAAAATCAATAAATAATAAGAGGGAGTTAAGCTAGCTTTGCTGCAGAGTAAATTCGTTTCTCTTTTCCAAATAAACAGGGCCATTTGGATTTATTAGTTGTCTACGAATCTGCATCCTCCTAGGATAAGTTCGCCATTATAGTCTGTTCATTATTTAGGGCTGTTGAATACACATCAATAATCATTTTACATTTAACAATGGTTGTGATTTTTATATTTTTCTGTTTTGTTTTTCCTTTTGTTTGTTTTCTCATTGCTTTGTCAATAATGCACCAAACAAAGACGTAAGTGTTTTGATGGTTTAAGGCTTCATATTGTTCAGCTTATTGTTTTCTTCCTAGATAGTAAATATTTTATTATAATCGCCGTGCAGAAGTTTTGAGGTGATTGATAAAATACAAACCTTGAACACAGGAGTGATGAGGCTCAGTAACGTTTTTGGTCCCTTTTACCTGTAAAATATTATGATTCTTCATTCTCACAAGAGAATGTATTCTTTAGTTGAGTATATAGATTTATTTTTATTTCCTGTCTCCTTTTTTCCCGTCTATATATTTTTTATCCTAGCATATCTAACAAGTGTTTGAGGTGGTTGCCATTACTGTATACATTAACAAAGGAAGGAGAAAACACAGTCATTACTAAATTGTCTAGGTGCATTCTATTTGCAAATTAATCAACATTAAGGCCCTGCAGGTGAAGTAGCAGACTAGCAGGACATCTGGTATCCTGAGAAGCATTAGGCAGAGGCTGACCCCAACCTTACCAGGATTGATTCACCCTGAGAAATTAAGAAATTACTTAAATTATGGGCCGGATGTGGTGGCTCATGCCCGTAATCCTAGCACTTTGGGAGGCCGAGGCAGACAGATGACTTGAGGCCAGAAGTTCCAGACAAGCCTGGCCAACACTGTGAAAACTCATCTTTACTAAAAATACAAAAATTAGCCGGGTGCGAACCCAGGAGGCAGAGGTTGCAGTGAGCCAAGATTGTGCCAGTGCACTACAGCTTTGGTGACAGAGTGAGACTCTGTCTCAAAAAAAAAAAAAATTACTGGGTTGTGACATTTTTCTAAGGTTTATCCAGTTAATAAGGAGTTCCCCACAAGTGGGCAAAATAATTGGGAAAACTATAGATATGCTAGAGGATGAAAGTGATAGAGAAATAACAAAGTAATGTATTAATGATGGCCTTTCAATGTACTTCAGAACATGTCTTAGTGCCTTTGGAATGCTCCCATAGACTGGGCAGCTTATAAACCACAGAAATGGATTTCTCACAGTCCTGGGAGGATTAGGTTGCCAGCGTGGTCGGGTTCTGGAGGGCCCTCTTACCTGTTACAGAGAACAGCCTTTCTGTGCATCCTCACATGGCAGAAAAATGAGCAGGGAGCTCTCTGGCGTCCCTTTTCTAAAAGCACTAATCCAAATCCAATTTTCTAAGGGCACTAATCTGAATCAGAAGGTCCCCCCTCATGGCATAATCACCTCCCAAAGACCCTTCATCTTAATACCTTCATAGGGGGATTAGGATTTCAGCCTATAAATTTGGAGAACAGAAATACTGAGTCATAACAGAATCTAAGGACCACACAATGAAACGGGGTTTCCCTGTGACAAGATTTGCATCCTTGAGAAATTCATAGCCATCATTCCTCAGAGAAAACTGATCTACATCTGCCACTCGAGTCTGAAGGATTTCTCAAGTCGCCCTTCTAGAGGCACCAAGCAGGTTCTTCAGATTGGTTATGATGATGCTTGGGGGTGATGAATACTTTCTATAGAATACCAAACCGGGATGTCTTAAAGAGAATGAAGTTTATGAAACTCAAATTTCATAGGTCGTCTTTGCAAAACCCAGTTTGGCTGAACAAGTGCTTATAATTTAATCCAGAAGAATTATTTCTTAAAAAAACGTTAAAGCTTTTAAAGACACATGAAATATAAAATCAATTTTTATAAGATTAGGATGTAATGATCAATAAAGGCTTTAAAGTATAAAAATACATTAGGATAAAATGATATAAGCTAAATGGAAAAGAACTCCAAATTCAATGAGGAAATGTAGTGATCTATAATTTCTTTGAAGAAGAGCTTGTTCCTGTTTTTTAAATGGAAATTGCTGGCTTTCAAATTTCTATGGTTTTTAGATTTCAGTGGATATGTTCACAAATGATGTAACAGTTTTATTTTAAAACGTCAATATTTACAGTGTCAGCAATTGTACTCTTTGTAATTATTTCAGTAAATTAGAAACTTTTCAGATCCATCTTAAAAGGTGTGAATTGATATGTCATTTTTTGGTTCTGTTACAGAAGAGATATAAAAGCAAAAATGTCCTGATGGCCTTTGTTATGGAGAATTGCTATCTCATATACATCCAGTAATAAGTGTAATGGCTGGTGAGAGAAAGGCGGAGGTGGAGAGAGTGATGAGGGGAGAATGGTGCCACCTGAGTAGGTTGACGTGGTCTGAATATGTACGTCTCCAGGGTATGGCATGTGAGGCTAAAACCTAGATTCTGCAGAGCTGCATCACCCAACAGCCACATGTGGATATCTGCATGTAAACTAACGAATACGAAGCTAAAAATTCAGTTCTTGTGCCACATTAGCCAGCTCAGGGGCTCACTGGCCACAGCTCATTGTGCCTCAAGGCTACCCCATCTGACAACACAGAATATTTCTGTTGCTGCAGACTGTTTTATTGGATGGAACTAATATTGAGGAACGGGTAGATTGCATAAAGGTCACTTTTCTCAATTGGACTTGACCTCAGCTTTAGGCAACAGAAGACATCTATTTTTCCTTGACAAGGGTCTATATAGTATGATATAGTAGGTACTGTGTGTCACACACTTGGGGATGACACACATTATATTCAGATAATGTGAACATATGGAAGCTTGACAAGCTTTAAGCAGAATGCAAAAAACTGATATTTGAGCAGATTTTGAAGCTATATACTTTATTTTTTAATTATAAACATGTGCTTTATTGTAGGAAAAATTTAAATATAACCCACGATACTGAAAATAATGTAAATGGCATTTATAGCCTTGGTCCGATGTTCACAATTGAACTTTACCTTAGGCCTTATTTTACAGAATGGGATATTTCTGAACATATCACTTTTCCTCTTAGAATCAGAAAAACCCAAGCATTAAACTTCAACATTTGTAGTATTCCCTGTTCACACTTTAAAAAAGTGATACTGGTTATTGGAGATCAGACCTTCAGTCAGCTCATCTAAATGAATAATTCTTTGGTTTGTTATTAAATCATTTTCCTCGATTAAATTTTGGCTCAGGTTAAAGGTGGTACAATGTGTTCTAAACTGACACAAATTGTAATAATCTATTCTTAGAGAAATTTGTAAAAACTTTCCATGAGCTGTTATGAAAATTAGTTATTTCTTAATGTTTAGTAATAAAACCTGTCATTTTGAAAGGTACAAATGAGTTTAATCTATTGAATGTATTAACAGTGATTAGAATAAAAAGCTTTTATAAGTCAGACAAATGTAAATCCAAATAGTTGTTAGATTAATAAATTTGAATAATAGAAATATCATTGAGAATATAAAATGTAGAAAATTGGTAAAGAGAGAACATTTGATGTACTCTGCAGAAAAAAACTATTATTGACTTGTGGTGAGATAAATATGTAGTTGCATTTATCCCAAAGGGGGATTATTGATTGGGGTTATTAAGGTCAATATTTATCTCAAGTGAAAAATAAATCTTGATTGTTTCATTGAGTCAAAATGCCAATACATATTTTGTTACAAAAACACTAAAAATGCACTGTAGTCATATTTTAATATTGTCTCTTAACAATGATTTTCATGGGAACCACTATTTTACTATATTTTTTTAAAATAGAATCTCTCAAGATAATAAGCACATAATTTATCATGGCTCATTTGGGTGCACCATTCTTTGTTCTTTTGTTTTTCCTTTTTTTGTTCCTTTCTAGAAGAGCTACGTTCACCCACACCTCTGTTTGAACTCTTTTTTTTTTTTTTTTTGGTGTAGAAGCAGCAACCATTAATTTTGTAAAAAGGAAAAACGAGTTGTCACAGGTAACCTGATGGTCCCTGGGTGTTGCAGATGAGCCGCGGATGAGAGACAGGGTCCTTCCGGGAGGCCCCATTGAAGCCTCAGTTGTTTCCCAAGTTTGATGAAAGAGCAGAGAAAGGTCTGTGATTTTTGTAGGAACTGTGCAGGACATGAGCCACTTCTATCGCTTAATTGCCACTCCTCAGGTGAAACAAGGTGCTAGGACAAGTTGAGGCACTCTTCAAAGGGTGCAAATCAGTGTGTGTGTGTGTGCGCGCACACGCTTGTATGAGTGTGTGGTAGTATGTGTGTGTGTGCTCACTGCTGAGCAGCAAGGCTCATGGAGGATTAAAAGTCTCCACCTTTGCCAGTCCATTTGCTTGACTGCTTGTTTCTTTTTGGGGTAGAGTCAGGAGCGAGGCATGCATGGCTTATAGATGCAGTTATGTTCCTAACAGTAACTGTCAGCCCTCCCAGTTGTCTGTGTCAGCCTGTATCTGCAAATGTGTTGTATTGTTAACACTGGTGAGATGAATCTGCCACTGTGAGTCTGGAGCAGCACTCTTAGAGCATGTGGTTACTTTGTAAATAGCCAGGTTTGAGCCAATGTCCAGGTCTCCTAAACCCCTGAGGACACTGACATTCTCTTCTGCAAACTGAGCAGCATCCGTCACACGAGGGGGTCACGTCACACACATGGCATACAGACGATGCAGGTGTAAGGGGCTTTACTGACTCGCATGAGCTCATCTTCTGCTTGTCCATCCTGCCTGTTCCTGCCTCCATGGCCCTCCTTCAACCCACTGCTATGGCTTTGTGGGAGTTTCTAAGTTTGTTAATCCAGCGCAATGTAGAGAAAAATAAATAAATCTGGTTTCAGATGAGTTGGCCTAGTCTGCTGGTATCTGCTGAAAGAGAATGCTTATGTCATTATAATTCTTCTCAGTAACTAGAAGACTGGGGTAAAAGGAAAACCCTCTCCCTGGCAGAATTCTGAACTACGTTTATCGTGGTGCCGTCTTGAACAGTGCCCCAGGGTACAGACAACAACGGCGTAAACCAGGGCCCTGTGCTCAAAGTCTTGGGAGAGGCAAGAGCACAAGATTGCTAACAGGGAGGCTTGCAGCAGAAGGGGTCAGATGCACTTCACAATGAGCCCAGAGAGCAGGGTGACCTACCTGTTCAAACTTTCTGAATTTTTGCTTCTGTTACCGATAACATCCTGCATCTTAGGAAATTCCTCAGTTCCAGGCCCAACTGGACTGCTGGTCACTCTGCTGGAGGATGAGAACACTCTCCTGTTTGAGTACTCATGAATCGCTGCCTGCAAGGGGGATGCTCTTAGGGGCGATAGATGCCCTCTCTGTCTGATGACAGCTGCCCTGTTCCACCCCATACCAGTGTTTCTCAGTGGGATCATGAGCAAAGCAGCCGTGCAAGGCTGCTGGGGCTTGGCCTAGCTCAGTCATGACACTTCCACAGCCAGTCCAGCTGCTGTCCCTGCAAAGCCTTGTTTACCAGTGAGGAAACCAATATCCAGGCTCCAGTGCGGTGCCAACGTCTAGGGGGCTGTTGGCTTCCAGGTGGCACCAGGCTGCTCTGGGACAAAAGCACCAGGCATCTCTCACTGAAATAAGCATGGATTCCGGATGTGGACTTGCTTTCTCTTTCTGCCAGCCTCAGCTCCTGTACATTTTCTGAATTCCTCATTGCTGTCCTGGTAACCTAAACACCATGACACACACTTTGGAGGAGGAAGTCGACATCACACTCAGAGCTGTGGCTGTGGGACATGCAGCCCTGGCATCCCCACGAGTCGGAGCCTCATCAGGTCGGGATGCTGTCCTGAAGGACCTTGTACAGTGGATCTTCCTTACAGAGCCTGACACAGGTCAGAACCCCGTGGAACCAGCCGAAGATTCCTTCTCTGGCTCCAGTCGTGGGTGGAAGAGTTCACCGGTAACAGCCTGGCACGCAGCACGAAGTGGCCAGGGCAGCGGGTGCCTGCAGTATGGTGGGTAGAACACAGTCCTTCCTGAGACAGGCATCGCTGGGCTTTGCCTCCGTCGGGCCCAGCCCAGCCCAAGCCTGCTTCTGCAGCCTTCCTCACAAATCCAGAATACCCTCACAGAATATTTCTCTTCTTAATTTAATCAGACTGAACTTATTTTATTGGAACCGTCGGTACTGACTATACAGAAGCGAGTGTCTCCTTTCAGCATTCAGATGGCCATTGCACTCAGGCAGAGCTGAACAGCATTTCTAACAAATAGGACCTCAAGCCCAATCCTGATGCAAACTCAGTCATTGCCCTGTTGTCTGTTCTGTTGGCTGTGCTTCTTTATGAATTTGAAGATATCATCTGTCCACTTCTGAGTGTTCTCCTTGATAATTAGGAAATGTTGCTTTGATTATACGTGTTTGTTGTGAAAACTATCTAATGGGGAATTTCTGTAACTGTAGGATTTGATGCCCCTAAGTGGAGCCGTACATAATGCCAGATATCAGAATCTCCTCTGAAGATTCCTGGCTCTGCCTAATCCCTAAAGCAGGTTCTATACACCATGCTGTGATCATCCCTGCTACCGTGTTTCTTAAATGCACTCTGTAGGGTGTTAGTGTGGCACATCTTGTTACAATGTCCTCACAGGAAAATGAACTTTGAGTTCCAGCTTATTAAATGTGGGTCCTTACAAGTGACATTTAAGTGATAACAGTGTTAAGAAACCCCCGCCCAAAGCCTGCGTAGGCTTTTGAATGAACCTCCACTCTTTGGAGTTTTAAGTGTCTACAGGTTATGAGTAGTTTAAAATGTATACTTTACCCTTTAATCACTGCTCTGTTCACCTGATCATAACCCCCATATTACACATTTTCCAATATCTCTTGCTGCTTTCTGGCTAGAAAAAGAGGCTGGAAACACGCTCTAGACACACAATCATAAGTGGCTTATTATTGATGAGGTTCACAGTAGTTGTTCATCATTGAAGTGCTTAATAGTGCTGTTCAACACAGTCATCAATGGAGTTCTATTTTTCTCCCCATAATTGGTAAATTATTTATTTTGAAGGATTTTTTTATTTTTTAAAAAATAATTAAGGGTTTTTGTGCTTAATGCATAGGTAGAAAAATGTAAACAAACTATTTGGTTCAATGATGCCCATCAATTTCTGTGCACTGCTTTCCCATGACAGTGTCGAATTGCTTCTTGGATATGCATTAATATTTTCATTTAAAAAGTTGCCCATTGGCTTTTCAGAATGTTTATTTTATTTTGTTTATGGAAAAATGCTTTCTTATGTCTGATTTGAACTTTTTGTTAATTTTTATTTATGCCCTCTTGCACTATCATCAATCAACCTTTAACAGGGATTATCTGAGAAGAATTGCCAGCTTACAACGTCTGTTTATTTATCTGAATTACTGTGCTGCTTCCAGGCTGTTTTCCCATTTCTAGTAGTGCATTGCAGCCTTCACTGTTTTTTCCTGTGGGGAGAAAAATGCCTTCATTACCTAATGAGAGGTTTATTCCAGCATATCATCTATTGTTTAGATGGTGCACCAGAAAATATTATTGCCTATCTCATTGTTAACTTTGCCTTCTTTCTTCTTCCCCTAACTTTAGTTTGGCTCATGGGTGCACAGAATTAAGTCTTTGTTTTCAAGCTCCCATTGCTGTTAGGTGATGATATGCTGAGTTAGAGTCAAGGGTCTACACCTGTAAATATTGAATGAAACTTGAAAAATCCTTCTGATGCACACTTTGCCCCTTTCTCATTTCCCCATTGGTCTTCCTGGGATGAGTGTCAAAGGGGGAAGGCTGGGAGTTCCGGTGTAAGGGCTGGCACACTAGCAGTCATTCTTGACTAACAGAAAAAGGTCTTGCCCTTGGTGAGCTGAAAGGCTCAGGACCTTAAATATCTTAGTACATTTTCCGTGTAATCCACATGAGGCTTATTTTTACACTCTACTTATATGGGCGAGAAAAAAAATCATATGTCATTTTTTTGTGGGTTTTATCACATGCAGCTCCATCTTAGGTGATAAACAAATACATTTGCTATTTTTTCTTGGATCCATGAAAGAATAAAATCATTGGGTTTTATCTTGTCTAACTCCATATCCAATATTTCAACCCTTCTTGTAACTTCTGCTACAAGTAGTCATCAAGCTGTTCGAACATCTTCTGTTGTGTGGACACTCCATCTTCCTGCTCAACTAACCAGTTCAAATATCTCCTTTTAAGATGAAATAAAATTCAGGTAATTCATCTGATAAAAGCAGATATTTGAGATGAAAAGGCAGCTATTGTGTCTTCATCGATACGGTTCTCCAAGCTAAAAAGTTACAATAATGTTAACTCTTTCAATTTCCTCTATCGTTGTAGCTACTGATATGTAAATTAAAGTTCACTTCTCTTTTCTTATGTGGTGGCCATAGATGAAAATGATTTTCTAGTTCAAGTCTGATGGGAGCCAAGTAGTCGCCTTTCTCTCTGGCTTCCTGCAGCCAGTGTTGCTGAGAAAAGTGAATGAGTGGTAATACACACCCTGGTCTCCTTCAGTTTATGAAGCATTGCTCTGCGGTTGCCGGCCGCCCCTGGCTTGCCGTGGGTGTGGGTGGCGCGTTTCCCACCCTGGTCCTCAGCTGCTCGCCTCTAGTGCTCTTCATCACCCCTTCTTCTCACTTCTCTCTTTCACGCTTACTTTTGTGATTGAGTTAGCAAATACTGCTGTGTTCATTTATTTGTTTTTGTTTTTTTTTTTTTTCTTTTTTGAGACGGCGTCTTGCTCTGTCACACAGGCTGGACTGCAGGGGTGCTGTCTCGGCTCACTGCAACCTCCACCTCCTGGGTTTGAGCAATTCTCCTGCCTCAGCCTCCAGAATAGCTGGGGTTACAGGCATGCACCACCACACCTGGCTAATTTTTGTATTTTTAGTAGAGATGGGGTTTCACCATGTCAGCCAGGCTGGTCTCAAACGCCTGACCTCAAGTGATCCACCCACGTCGGCCTCCCAAAGTGTTGGGATTATAGGCATTAGCCACCGCGCCCGGCCTGCTGTGTTTGTTTAAAGGCACATGGATTATGTTTTGACATTATATATATATATATAAATACATACACACACCCACACACACATGCATACATATACACACATACATATTTTATATATATATACACATATATAAATATAATATATATATATATATATATATATATATTTTTTTTTTTTTTTTTTTTTTTTTTTTTTTTATTTGAGACGGAGTCTCGCTCTGTCACCAGGCTGGAGTGCAAAGGCCCGGTCTCGGCTTACAGCAACCTCCACCTCCACCTCCTGAATTCAAGCAATTGTCTCCTGTCAGCCTCCTGAGTAGCTGGGATTACAGGGGCCTGCCACCACACCCAGCTAACTTTTTGTATTTTTAGTAGAGACAGGATTTCACCACGTTTGCCAGGCTGGTCTCCAACTCCTGACCTTGTGATCTGCCCACCTCGGCCTCCAAAAGTGCTGGGATTACAGGCAGTAGCCACCGTGCCTGGCCAAATAATTTATTTTTTAATAGTCACAACTTACCTTTTTTTCCTATGATGGTAGCCCTCCTGGGAAATTGTGTCTGTCAAAACGGTGGTGTTCCTTGGGAGCACATATGTTAAGTGGGCACGTTGTGGACCATCATAAAATATTAGATGCATAAAATTAACCTAGAATGGAGGTCACCTGGTACAGCCCTCCTATTTGGCAGACAAAAAACTAAGGCCAAGAGATGAAGTGATGAAAGTCACATATTGTGTCAGAGATTCAAAGTAAATTAAAGGACCCCTAATCTTTGTTCTTCATTCTGTATAACCTCTTGCATGGCTCATTCCACACTGATGTAGAAAAAGGGTTGCACGAAGTGGCTCCTCCCACCTGATCCTTCAGTCAACCCAATTATCTTTTCTAAAATCTATTTTAAGTATTGAGACTGACTTTACACATTTATTTGAGATTTTTTTAAGTTTCACTGATAAATCACTTGTTTGACAAAATAAGGATTCAAGTGAAATCCCCAGAACGATAACTTTTCATGTAATAGGAGCGTGGGACGCTAAAGACAAAGTAGGTTTCCCAATCACTGAGATTAATCAAAGGACTGTTTGTGACTGCCAGGAAGGCAGGAAAATGCTTCTGTACATTTTTGTGTGTGTGGTGAGGGTTGGAAAGGGAGAGAAAAACTGAAACTGCGCTATAGCTACTAAATGGACACACCACTGTGGCTAAAGCCTCAGGCACATCGCTGCCTTGGAAGCCAGGACACATCAGTGAGAGCCTGTGCTTCCAGGCCGGCAACTGGCAAAACAAATATAGGCTGCTCCAGGCTTGCCTTTGCTAACTGGTTTCTTTTTTTCTTTTACACCAGGGGTAGTCCAGCCATGGTCTGGACAGGGATGAACAGAAATTTCTGGAAAGGGAGCTTTGCCATCACTATCATCGGAAGACTACGTAAGATGTCTCACTAAAATGTTTCTTTTTTTATCATTATACTCTTAAGTTCTGGGGTACATGTGCAGAATGTGCAGGTTTGTTACATAGGTATACATGTGCCATAGTGGTTTGCTGTACCCATCAACCCATCATCTACATTAGGTATTTCTCCTACTGCTATCCCGCCGCCACCTCCCACCCGCCACAGGCCCCAGTGTGTGATGTTCCCCCCCCCCGTATCCATGTGTTCTCATTGTTCAACTCTTCTGAGTGAGAACATGTGGTGTTTGGTTTTCTGTTCTTGTGTTACTTTGCTGGGAATGATGGTTTCCAGTTTTATCCACATCCCTGCAAAGGACATTAGCTCATCCTTTCTTATGGCTGCATACTATTCCATGCTGTATATGTGCCACATTTTATTTATCCAATCTACCATTGATGGGCATTTGGGTTGGCTCCAAGTCTTTGCTATTGTGAACAGTGCTGCAGTAAACATACATGTGCATGTGTCCTTATAGTAGAATGATATATAACCCTTTGGGTATATACTCAGTAATGGAATTGTTGGGTCAAATGGTATTTGTAGTTCTAGATCCTTGAGGAATCGCCACGGTTTCTTCCACAATGGTTGAACTAATTTACACTCACACCAGCAGTGTAAAAGTGTTCCTGTTTCTCCACATCCTCTCCAGCATCTGTTGTTTCCTGACTTTTTAATGATCGCTGTTTTAACTGGTGTGAGATGGTATCTCATTGTGGTTTTGATTTGCATTTCTCTAATGACCAGTGATTATGAGCATTTTTTCATATTTTTTTGGCTGCATAAATGTCTTCTAGAGAAGTGTCTGTTCATATCCTTCACCCACTTTTTGATGGGGTTGTTTGTTTTTTTCTTGTAAATTTGTTTGAGTTCTTTGTAGATTCTGGATATTAGCCCTTTGTCAGATGGATAGTTTGCAAAAATTTTCTCCCATTCTGTAGGTTGCTGTTCACTCTGATGATATTTTCTTGTGCTGTGCAGAAGGTCTTTAGTTTAATTAGATCCCATTTGTCAATTTTGGCTTTTGTTGCCATTGCCCTTGGTGTTTTAGTCATGAAGTCTTTGCCTTTGCCTGTGGCCTGAATGGTATTGCCCAGGTTTTCTTCCAGGATATTTATGGTTTTAGGTCTTACATTGAAGTCTTTAATCCATTTTGAGTTAATTTTTGTATAAGGTGTAAGGAAGGGATCCAGTTTCTGCTTTCTTCATATGGCTAGCCAGTTTTCCCAACACCATTTATCAAATAGGGAATCCTTTCCCCATTGCTTGTTTTTGTCGGGTTTGTCAAAGGTCAGATGGTTGCAGATGTGTGGTGTTATTTCTGAGGCCTCTGTTCTGTTCCATTGGTCTATATATCTGTTTTAGTACCAGTACTGTGCTGTTTTGTTTACTGTATCCTTGTAGTATAGTTTGAAGTCAGGTAGCGTGATGCCTCCAGCTTCATTGCTTAGGATTGTCTTGGCTATGCGAGCTCTTTTTTGGTTCCATATGAAATTTAAAGCAGTTTTTTTTTCCAATTCTGTGAAGAAAGTCAATGGTAGCTTGATGGGGATAGCATTGAATCTATAAATTACTTTGGGCAGTATGGCCATTTTTCATGGTATTGATTCTTCCTATCTGTGAGCATGGAATGTTTTTCCATTTGTTTGTGTCCTCTCTTACTTCCTTGAGCAGTGATTTGTAGTTCTCCTTGAAGAGGTCCTTCATGTCTCTTGTAAGTTGTATTCCTAGGTATTTTATTCTCTTTGTAGCAATTAGGAATGGGAGTTCACTCATAATTTGGCTCTCTGTCTGTTATTGGTGTATAGGAATGCTTGTCGTTTTTGCACACTGATTTCATATCCTGAGACTTTGCTGAAATTGCTTATTGGCTTAAGGAGATTTTGGGCTGAGACGATGGGGTTTTCTAAATACACAATCATGTCATCTGCAAACAGATAATTTGACTTCCCCTTTTTCTAATTGAATACCCTTTATTTCTTTCTCTTGCCTGATTACTCTGGCCAGAACTTTAAAATTGCATACTCTTACCTTGAATTTGAGAGACAAAGGGCAGACAATAACAATAAACGTGTAAATAATACAATAAACGAGACTATGAATGAACAATAGACAATAATAGAATAGAAGAGCATTAGGACTTGAGGACTATTGGGCACGTTATTAAATAATATCCCAAGAGAGGGCATGGTTTGAGGCTGAAGAAAAATTGCTTCTGAAGTGTCCTACTGTCTTCATGTTTTCATGCTGTTTACAGGGACCTCCTTGACTGGATAGATTTCCCTCTTCTACTGAAGTGGCATGGTCTTACCATCCCATGTGGATTCAGCAGAGAGGAAAGGCCCATAGATGGTGTTCAAGCACATGTCATGCTGCTGGAAGCTGTGGACTCCTGGGTTTTCTCCCCTCCCAGGCTCTGAACCATTGGCAGTAGAGGTCACATTTAGTTATCACCTTCTCCCAGTGTCTAACTCAGCCTCACACATAGCAGGCACTGACATGTTAGGTTTTCTTTATTAATTAAACTCATTCGAAAATTACACATTTATTAATTAAAAGTTATAATAAGTTAACAAATTTATTTTCACAAAAAACATGATGCTCATAAGGAAGAGCCTGTGGAGAATATGGGTGGTGGAAGCCAGGATAAAGAAAGGCCTGCCGAGGAGGCTTGTACTTTCCTCCAGGACCCCTGCCCCTGCAGCAGACAGGTGCCCACAAGGGGCTCCATGCAGTGCTGGGACATGCTGCGTCTGGGGTAGGGGTGGCTGGGAGCCTTCCTCCAGCCTATTGCTGCCAACGGGCCTGGGACAGCCACCTGCATGCATCTCAACCAGATGTGCTGGGTGCACTCACTCTCCTGCACCCACGCCTAGCCCCTGCTCAGGCTTGGAGAGGGAGGGGAAGTTGGGTGGGACTCAAGGTCCACAGGGTCGGGGAGCAAGCAGCATGAGAAAAATTCAGAAGAGGAGATAGTGTTGTGGCTGTAGATGGGATCTCCTAGAAACTGAGACCCCAAGTCTCCCTGCAGTCTGCATCGTCCCATCAGATTTCACTTATGAAGCACATTTTGAAAGATGAAATATTAAGGATTCAGAACTGCAACCACAGATCATCAATCCCTAAGTGCAGAAAACTTCAGAGTCCAGGGCCCTCCAGACTGCCCTGGTCCCACCTCCATGAAGCTGGGCCTTGGTCTCCTGTGGTGGGATTGCCGACAGGACTGGCCTGGCTTTGGCAAACTCTCTAAGACTGCACCTCCAAGCCCACATGTTCAGGAGAACCCTGAGGGTCCACAGTGAGAAACCTCCCCGTGGGGAGAGGGCTCTCCCTGCACTGCACATGGAGCAGCAGAGCCTGAGAGGAAGGGAAGCACCTGCCTGAACCTCAGCCCAGGCGACACCTCCTTGTTCTGCAACCACCTGCACCCTGCATGTCTTTCATGATCTCACTGAGCCATGAAAATACTCACAGCCGTGACTGATACTGAACTTCCTATCCATCCTGAAAAATGGGTGCTGAAGACAGATGAAATTAGGTTAGAAAAAATAAAGAAAAGAGGCATTTCCTGAAGCTAACTGTTGTCAAGCAACTTCCTAACAGTTACCACTGAGACTCTACCTACCTCTGAAGTCTGCAAACTCTGAGTCAGAATTTCAAGGCTCCGTCTCCCGAGTCTCGGCTGCCGTCCAATGCTGCAGGCACAGTGCACTGGAACATTTATAATCCGGTTAGGTTTGTAAATTTTCATCTGGTCCCAGACAGACTGGGGACACACCCAAATCCAAATATGAATTTTGGAGAGGGTGGATATTATAACAAAAGCACAGAAGGAGCATGAAGAGATAAAGGAATATGTCTAGTACCAAATAGCTTTAAAATGTTTTTTCTTATTTAATTTTTTTAAACAAGGAAAAGACAAAATCTATTCCCAATTAAATTAGCTAGTAAAAGTAAAGTTTACCACAGTTAAAACAAAGTTATGAAATTATGAATGATGTCATTCGAATGTCAAAGCCTGATCTTTCTAACAATTTAATCATGGCTTAGGTATTTCCATACACTCTCATACTTTCATTACTTACATTTTACAGAAGAATTCTACCTGGAAGAAAATAGTGCCAGAGTATAGATAGCTTCAAAGAAGTGTAATTTTGCTCTTTAAAATTTCTTAAAGAAATTATGCTAATTTTTATAATACAATCTTTATATGCATAAAAATAAGTAGATAAAATACGAAGACTATTTCAGAAATAGGTAGGATTGATGTCTCTGAGATAAATTCGCTGAATCTTGCTCTTTAAAATGAGCTTTAGGTCATCCCAAAAACATCTCTATTTTCTCTGCTCCTTTCTGTCATCCCCTCACTTCCTCCCCTGCCACCCTATACTGTTCTTGGTGATGATTTTTCAGCAAATTTCCTAATATGTCTAAATTCATACATTGCCCTGTTCTTTCATCATCGCCTCTGTTGTCTCACAAATACAGTTTTCTAGTGTTTTTTTGGGAGAAAAGGAGAAATTGCCCATCTACTCACAGATTTGGCATAAACTATATAGAGATGTAGGGATTCCATTTTAGAAAGTCTACCAGCATACAGTACAGTTCTTGAGGAAGGTGAAGGTGAATTAATAAGGTAATGGAATATACCTTGTATGTGTTTGTCCAGCTAAGCGATTCTTGTCCCATTTGCAAAACTGAGTCAGGCTACATAGTCTTATTTTTCTATGAGACCTAACTGGGAGGTACATCAAGTAGGGGAAATAAATCAGCAATTAAGATTCTTCATATAAATTCCCAACTCTTCTCTCTCCTCTCTCTCTCTCTCTCTCTCTCTCTCTCTCTCTCTCTCTCAGCCCCCTACCCCATACAGAGAACACAGATAGCCAATATGTCCACATTCAGTCTCATGGCAGTGTTCAATTTGGTCTTCTCTCTTCTATTATTCATTTTCTATTATTTATTTCCTTAACCTTCAGAGGTGTGCATGTGATAGATTATGACCTTATCTATCCACTCTTGTCTGGAATTCAGATGGTGCATGTAAATGCGTTTTCAGAATAAGAAAGTTATTAGGAAGTTCCTTGATGTTATCCATTATGGATAGAAAACTTGCTGATATTCACCACCCATCATTCCACAAAAGCATGCACCGAACATGATGTCTCCCCTTCGCTCTGCCTCCATAGTGTCTCTATGCTCCATAATTATGGTACTGAACTGCACTTGCAGATAACTGCAGAAGTTATTAAAGTGTCCAGGATGACTTGTCCCTACACTGAATGGCCCCCGAATGATGAATTTTTAAAGCACCTTTGTCTATAGTTTTATGATATTTGGTCGCCTATGCTGCATACCTCATTTCTTATTGCTGATAGTGTTCTCTACACCCCTTTATGCCTCCAACTTTTAACTTGTTTCTTTCAGGATTCCATAGGCTCAACAATGACCCAAATGTTTGCAATTCCATTTAAATAGATTTTTGATGTTATTCTCTCAAAAATAAAGGACAGTATATGGACTGTAGTATGAGGTGATTTTACTGTTGGTTTTATTGTTGTTAAGCTACTCTTTTTCTACTTTTCTCATTTTCTTGGTAAAGGGATCAGGTCATAGTACTATGAATCAATAGAACTGTTTGACTTTCAGTAGGTCATCCTGTTTTTCAGTGTCTGTTTTATCATCACTAAAAAGAATAGATTTGATAGAATGATTCCAAAAGTGCCTGACATGTGAAAAGTTTATAACTCTAAATGAGATGTACATATGCATATAAATAAGAGTTTGAGGATGATTACAGGGAACATAATAAAAAGCTAAATAGTAATTTTTGAGTCTAATGCTGTAAGTATAATGATATAGACTTAAAATTGTGGAAATAAAGACAATATTTATAGTCATATATTACCTGATATCCTTTTGTTATGAATATACTGAATCATTAATTGTTCAGAAAACAAATATTCTATCAGAAGGATTCTTATATAATTCTCTTTTCAAGCAAATGCATAAAATATACCATATATATGTAACTTTGTGTTTTTTGAAATGTGTTGTATTAACTAGCTAAGTGTTGGCTAAAGGATGTCAGATTTTTTTCTAAAGAGTGTGGAAAGGAGAGCATTTAATATATTTTAAGGCGTTGGATATAGGCTAGATCTTATGGTGGTCTTTTTGGTGCAGTTGTTCTTGTTATCGGCAAGATAATTCTTTGTCAGTGTCATATCTCCATGAAAGTTCAAACTGATGATAGCAGATAGTAAAATATGTATATTAAAACAATTTATCTGCACTGTTTATGATGGTAGAAATCTAGCTATACTTTTTATAATAAGGTTTCTTGAACCACAAATCAGAACACACATTCCAGTCTTCATGAGTTCATTTGACTGTGGGAATGCTTTTAAGAATTCTGTTTTCAGGAACATGGGAAGTATTGTTTTAGAAATGAATACCATCATACAATATGAGTGCATTTCCATTGAAAGAAAGAATCAGAAGACTTTCAGTGATGCTGATATTCCATTGTGACCCAGTTTCCATAGCGAACGTGACACAGTCACTGAGAAAAGGCAAACAAAATGACCGGCACCAATTTTCTGAACCAATGTTGTTGTAGATAAATAAGTGCTATCTCAAAACTAGGAGAAACATATTAAAATATATAGATTTTTCTGCTTGGTAGATTCCTGCATGAACTGTTGCAAAGTTGGCATCAATTGGCAATGACCCAACAAGAGATAGTAAACAAAAAAAGCTAAGAAAGCAAAATGATGTTTTCCAAGTGGCTTGTCTTGCTCTCTGTGTGCTGTAATTTTTGCTTGAATTTTGACAGCTAATCATTGGTAGGCATATGTTGCCTGTGAGTCTTCATCTTGCAGCAATGAAGCTTGGAGCCAAATTGACAGTGATTGCATTTTAAGTATCTATCGGCTCAAGAATTTACAAATATACAGAGGTTTTTGCAGAGATATTGACCATATGAAACCAAAGTCTTCTGAAATATAACTGCCTTTATTAATTCAGATTCATTGAGCCCCTATTATGAATCCAGAGCCTGAAGTTTGCCCAGTGCTATGAAAGAAATGCAGGAAAAAACATACATTCTGCTTTATTGTCCAGTATCTGATAGTTGAAATAAAGCCTGCGTACAGCCATAAAGCATAGCACAATGCAATGAGGATAATAAAAGTTATGAAAACAGTGGGATAAGCTAATTGGGATGAGGAAGTGAGCTAGCTGGAAATAGCAGGACATGATTTGTTAATGAGGTGGCATCTGAACTGCGTATTTAAACATCTCATCTGGGTATTGACTACAGATACAATTAAGAGAGTGATGTGAGTAAAAGCATACACAGTGATGTAAAATATAGGATAATTATTTAAAAATCATTGAGAGAAGTTAAATTTGAATGAAGAACAGACAAAACCAAAATGCTGATATAGTTGATCATGTTGGGTTAGATTAGATTTGAAAGATATAAATACTTGTTTATTTTTAAACAGAATGACACCTGAATAGATACATGAAAGATGAGTAGATAAAAAGAGAGTCAATTATCTGGAGATTATTATTTTATTTAATAAATCTGGGATTGTTTTATCTAATGTTCATGTCTGGTTTAATACTACATGTCTGTGGATATTTTATGTAATGTTTATTACAACCAGTCACATAGAGACTATTGTTACACCTTTGGTGTCGATGAGGCAGACGACGCTTAGGGAAGCTCAGAAACCCACCGAGCGCACCTGGATGATGACTGATGGCCAGTATTCAAATGCCTTCATTCTGCCCATAGCCTGGGCTTTTAACAACAATGGTATTCTACCTCCTGCTAAGTAGTAGTATAAGATTAATAATACAAGGCCAGGCGTGGTGGCTTTCTCTGGTAATCCCAGCACTTTGGGAGGCTGAGGCAGGAGGCTCACTTGAGCCTAGGAGTACGAGAGCAGCCTGAGCAACATAGTGAGACCCCATATGTACAAAAAAAAAAAAAAAAAAAGCCTGATGTGCTGGCATGTGCCTATAGTCCCAGCTATTTGGGAGGCTGAGGCAAGAGGATTGGTTGAGCCCAGGAGGTCAAGGCTGCAGTGGGCTATACCAAAAAGAAAAAATAAAGATTAATAATATGGCAGTGATACACTTAGTTACACAGACAGAGTCCCACAGGAAATTAGAGTCCTGATTCAACCACAGATTCAAACCAGACATTCCCTCTACCTGAATATTTCTAGTTCTGGAAACCTCATTGGTCATTGTAGCTAATCACTTTTTAAAGCAAACTTTTAATTTATAATAATTTGAGAATTATGTTTAACTTTTTTTTTGTCCTTTCTGGAACCACAAAATGTCCCAGGCTTATCTTGTATATGTTCCATGTCAGTCTTAGAATTTTCCCTTACTGTGAGAAGATTTGGCTCCTTTAATTGAGAATGGTATTAGAAACCAAAATCTGCTTGCTAAGTGTGCTCAGTGCTACTGTACAATGCTCACATTGTTTCCAAGCACTCTGTTGAGAGCAGGAAAATATACTAGCATAGACTAGCCCATGCATAGACACATATCTTTAAATATTGTTAATGTAAACATCAGTATCTAAGCTACAAATGAGTTCCTATTAATTGTTCAATTCTGATACACCTCTGCATAGCGGTATCAGAAATGTTAAGCTGTACCCCATGGGAAACAAATTTCCTGCCAGAGCATGGTGCTTTTGTACAACTCCTTTGGCCTTCATTCTTATAGATTTCATTCATTTCCGAAGTTTCTTATGTCAGTAGGTTTTCCCCCAACCCCTTGCAGTTAGAGTATTCATAGATTTGTAACACATTTAAATCATTTTGTCACCTTTTGCCTTCTCTCCTGGTATCTCTGCTAATGTTTTGAAATATGTAGATGCCTAAAATTCCTCCTTTCATCTTCTGCAACTGTAGTATTTGGAGAAATCTTTCAACTGGTTTTCTTAGACTAACTGAACACATTTCTTTATTGTTTAAAACTACTGGATGTATTTATGTTCTCTGGTGTTGCACAAACTATTTTTTCTTCTTAAATACAGTAATTCATCAATTATTCTTTGAAAATAGATTTTACATATTCCTAACTCTTCTCTATGGAAGATGGAAGGAGGCCAAATTTTAGTACTGCTTCTAGTACAATAGGTTCCCAATGTTCTGCTGAAATAGGCTCTTTCTTTGTCAATAATATGTTAAATATGCCTCAAATTGATCATGGTGTTACACAAGTCATCTTCTTAGTGGCCTCGCTCATCAAGGTCTTTCGTTGATATGAAACTGGACAAGTTTCAATTCGTTTTTATTATAGTCAGTGTCATTATTATTGCATGAGGTTTTTTCAGATTTTGACCCAGCTTCCTCTACTATGTTTTAAAGCTGTATAATCCCTCTTAACTTTGTTTCCTTCCCATGAAAATTCATTTCTTATATATAAAATTTATTACTTCACTGGCAAATACTGTTAATTCTCTTCCCCTTCCACTTCTTCGTAGTATCTGAAATGCCAGGTTAAGATATTTTTAGACTTAATTCAGCATGAATGGAGAATTTAGGAAATACTTTGAATAGAAGATGGTTGATGCAGAATGTGTGCTTTTGAGAGAGTAATCTGACATCTGCTATGCAAGATGAATGAGTTCATTCATTCGGCAAATGTTTATCGGGCATCCATAAAGTGCCAGATACTGCTGTGCAGACTGGGGCTACAGCAGTAAGTAAAACAGATAAAGCAGACAATCTCTCCTCTCTCGTAAAGCTTACATTCTAATGAGGAGATACAGCAGGTGTACGGACAATAAAAAATATAAACACATAATATGTCTAGTGGGAATGGATTTTATTAATAAAATTAAGCAGCATAGAGATTGATTGAAATTGATACCTACTCTGTATAGGATAGGCACAGGCTGCCTAACAAGGTAGCATTTTAACAAAGAGTAAAATGAAATGCATGAAAATATGAAGACAAAGAACGTTTTCATTTTAAGGAAACAGAAGGTACAAAGCTTCCCAGATGGGTGTGCAAATTAGACTGAGAGACATAGGCCCATGTTGTTAGAGTAAACGTGAGAGGGGGAAAGACAGTAGCAAACGATGTCAGAAGGATGGTTCATGGTACCATCAGGTAGGTCTGCCACGCCAGGTAGTGCCACTGCAGCTCATTCCTACCTAGTAAGACGGGAAGCCTTCAGAAGAGTTTCAACAGAAGATTGACATGGCTTCACTTATTTTTTAAAGAACAATGGTATAAATTGGTAGAAAATAGACTGAATGATGAAGGAAAGGAGGAGGGGACCAGTTAAACTCTACTGAAACTGTCCTCCTGGAACAGGAAGAATTAATGATGAAATGATGAAATAGTAAGGACAGATGTGAGGATAAGTGGTTGTAGCATCTATTTTCTTTAAAGATAGAGCCAATAGGACTGGCTGGTGAGATATGATTAGAATTTCAATGAATTTGAGAATCATGAATGACTCCAAAGTTTTCGGTACGAGCAAGCAGCCATTCATGGTGGCAGATGAGATGAAGAGAAATCCACACAGTGGAGGAACACAGAGTAAATCAAGGGTTTCATTTTAAATATGTGAATTCTAAGTTGCCTGTTGGATTCCCAAGTAGAAATATTGAGTAGGAAACTGTACATGTTAGTCAAGAGTTCAGGGGGGATGTTGGCAGTTAGAGATATAAATTTGGGCTTTAACAGTGTACACATAGAGTCCAGGCACAGTGACTCAGGTTTGTAATCCCAGCACTTTGGGAGGCCGAGACAGGCAGGTCACTTGAGGTCAGGAGTTCAAGACCTGGCCAACATGTTGAAACCCTATCTCTACTAAAAGTACAAAAGGGCAGGCGTGGTGGCATGTGCCTGTAATCCCAGCTACGCAGGATGCTGAGGCAGGAGAATCGCTTGAACCTGGGAGGTGGAGGTTGCAGTGAGCCGAGATTACACTACCACACTCCAGCCTGGGCAAGAGAACAAGACTCTCTCTCCAAAAAAAAATAATAGTGCTCACATGATAAATAAAACAATAGAATCAAACAGAGGTGAGTGACGGTTGATGAGACAGTTCACAGGCTTGAGGCCTGTTGCACAGAACGTATACAAATAGAGAAGGAAAGACTCCAAGAAAGAAAACGGAAGGCGAAGTCAGTAAGGGAAGGGAAGAACCCAGAGACAGAAGTTCCCAGTGGGTAGAGGAAGATGGGGTTTAATGAAGGCAGGAGTCATTTGTGTCACATGCTGTGAAGAGTTTAAATCAGACAAGGATGGGGAACTGACTAATGGGAGTGGGCCAAAGAGAGAACGAAGGGAGAAGAGGTAAAGCTTTCAAGTGTAAATGACTCCTTCAGGAAGCTTTTCTGCAAAGAGGAGTAAATAAACGGAATAGTAATTAAGAGTAGCCAGGAGTAAATTATTTTTAATGGTGTTTGTTTGCCAAGGAAATGATTCAGTAAGAATGGAAAAAATAGTGATGTATCATTGAAAGGTAGCCATGCATCAGGGAGGTAGCTGAGGCAGGTGGGAACATGATTCAGCTCACAAGAGCATGTGTTGGTGTCTTCAGAGAGAGTTAGGTGGGTCAGATGAGGCAGGGAGGAGGCATATGGAAGGATAAAGTCTGAGCTGCGTTGTAGCAAAGTGAAGGCTTACAGACTCTACAGTTGAGATTTCTCTACATAGACCTGAGGTTTTCCCACCACCTCTACACTAAGGGTACAGTGTCCTGTTCCCTCTGGAATTATAGCTGTCTTGAACATTGTAGGGCATGTCAGTGTGGAGTAATCCAAAGTGACTGAGCTGCATCTGTTGGAGTGAGTAGTATCACTCCTGCTGCGTGATCACAGGGGAAAATGCTGACTCACCTGTGGCATCTCTCCTGCTCCCTACAAGGAGGGTCTGCTACCATAACCTCAAATAGAGAGAATGGTATACTTACATTTTACTGGAAGCTGATGGTAATTCGACTCCCCTATGGCCAGGAGTAAATGATTTTTAATGGTGCTTGTTTGCGTTAATTACTCAGTAAGAAAGAGAAAAAATAGTGACGCGTTATTGAAAGGTAGCAATGCAGCAGGGAAGTAATTGAGGCAGGAGGGAATATCATTCAGCTCACAAGAGGATGGATGGGATGTCTTCAGTGTGAGTATCAACCTCTTCAGAGATTGCTGGGCAGTCGAGCAAAGCCCTTCGTGTTCATTCTGTGCAATGATGCTCCATATGGCTCTTGCTAGGTGGTAGGCCTTCTCCTTTTTGGGATTCCCTGAGATATGCTTCCCAGATTGCAGCCTCCATCTGGTAACTCTTCTCGCCTCCTCCAGCTGTCTCAGGTTTTGTCTCCACTCTCATCACTACTGCCTAGTATGACACATAAAATCTTCTCTCTTTTTCAAGAGAACATTGTGGCTGGGCTAAGCATGTCATTTAAAGACCCAGCAAAGACATTTTTTAAAATAAAGCAGAACACTATTATTAATTACGGTGGTACAAAGAACAGTTGGGATTGTCCTGGCCTAACTAGAAGACATAATTCTCTTATTTGTGGTCCTTTATTATACAAAAAACAGAAAGGAAATGGTCTGCCACTTTTTACAGGCATTGATGGTAAAGGATTTCACTCTCTTCTCTTAATATATAAAGACAATAAAGAGATAGCAAATACTTTTTTTCCTGTTAAGCAATGTGTTTATATCCTGCCCTGTACATGTTAGCACCACTTTGGAGTAAGATTTACCTGTGGATGGCACATGAGGAATAAAGAAGAAAACACAGAAAATTCCATCGTTCTTAAAGTATTGGGATGAATGATAGTAACATGTTTGGAAACAAAGCAGTCAGAAACAAGTTTCATTGGGTGGGAGGCAATGAGTATTGCTTTCAAGTTCAGATGTTATCCAGTTGACAGTGTTGGACTGCACATTGAGAGGGAGGTATGTCGGATCAGGCTACTATGTCAAAATATATAAACTGGGTGGCTTATTGTATTAGTTTCTTTTTATGCTGCTGATAAAGACATACCTGAAACTGGGAACAAAAAGAGGTTTCATTGGACTTACAGTTCCACATGGCTGGGGGAAGCCTCAGAATCACAGCAGGAGGCGAAAGGCACCTCTTCCATGTTGGCACCAAGAGAAAAATGAGGAAGGAAAAGGGGACACCGCTGAAAAGCCCATCAGAGCTTGTGAGACTTATTCACTATTGCAAGAACAGCATGGGAAAGACCGGCCCCGTGAAATAACTCCCTGTGGATCCCTCCCATAACCTAAGGGAATTCTGGGAGATAACATCCAAGTTGAGATTTGGGTGGGGACACAGCCAAACCATATCACTTATAAACAACAGACATTTATCATAGTTGTGGAGGCTGAGAAGTCCAAAATCAAGGTGCCAGCAGATTTCAGGTGTGCTGATACCCTACTCTCTGGTTCAGAAGTGACCATCTTCTCACTGTGCCTCCTATGGCTTTAATGGACCAGTTCTCTGCCAGGGTGTCTTTTACACTGGCACTGCTTTCATTCATGAGGGCTACACCTTCATGCCTAATCACCTCTCAGATAACTTACCTCCAAATACTATCATACTGAGAATTTAAGCTTCAACATACAAATTTTAGGAGACACAAAAAATTAGTCTATAGCCATGGGCAAAAATGGAGATTTAATTTGCACATTTTTGTTTAAAGACAGAGTTGGAAATGAAATATAGATATAGATGGAGAGGAAAAAAGAAGAGACATTGAGTAATGCTCATATGTACAGCACAAAAGAAGGAAGAGCTAACAACAGTGAAAAAGGAAGTGCAAAAGTGATGGGGTGCAAAAAAAAAGCCAAATCCAGAGAGCTGCTGCAACTTTTCCCTGCTCTATCCTCGATACCACCATCTCCTAAAGAGAAATACCAAAAAGCATCATGATTGCTAAACACAGACATCTGGTTGAACCGTAAGTGAGAGAAGCAATGTGGAAAAATTGCAGATAAATTCAAAGATGGCAGAGATTCCCATATTATTAGGTTAGTGCAAACGTAATTGCAGTTTTTGCCATTAGATAATAGGAAAAGAGCATTGAGCTTGAGAGCTGGTTTCTTTGTTGTTGTTGTTAAAAATGGGACTTGGTAAAGATGCTTTCAATTTTATAACTGTAAGATGGAAATAATTTTGTGCAGCTTGTATCCTGGAGCTGCTAAATCACTTAAAGTATTACAAAGAACGTGTTTTATGATGAAAACGTAATAAAACTCTATAATATGACAGAGAAATATTATACTGCAGAGGTATAAAAAAGGCAGATGTTGCTGTCAATTTCCTTAGCTTTAAAAGTCATAGGTTTGTGTGATTTTTTTTTATATGAAAAACAAAGATGAGAGAAATGTGACATAGTAGGAACATGGGTTTGGAATTGAATGAAATTGGACATTCCTCTTGGTTGTGCCATTGCTTTGTTTAGAAATATTGGACAAGTGAAGAAAGTCTGTGACACAGTTTCCTCCCCTGTAAACTGACTCTCATGGAATGGAGAGAAGAAACATTTAGTGGGAATTCAGGTGAGGTGCAGAGGCTGTTAGGATGGTTACTTTTATATGGGCTGTGGTGAGAAGGATGGACTGCTTTAGGCTATGGAGAAAGAAAAAGCCAAGTGACTTTCTGATTTATTTATAGCTAACCTTATCCAATTTACCAGGACATAAGAAGGAGGAGACAGTTCTACAATGAAGTTTGTTTCTTTGTTTTTGAGAAAGAGTCTCACTGTGTCACCCAGCCTGGAGGGCGGTGGTGCAATATCGGCTCACTGCAACCTCTGCCTCCCAGGTTCAAGCAATTCTCCTGCCTCAACCTCCCAAGTAGCTGAGATTACAGGTGCCTACCATCACACCTGGTTAATTTTTGTACTTTTAGTAGAGATGGGATTTCACCATGTTGGCTAGGCTGGTCTTGAACTGCTGACCTCAGATGATCCACGCACCTCAACCTCCCAAAGTGCTAGGATTACAGGTGTGTGTGAGCCACTGTGCCTGTCCTACAATGAAGGTGTGAGAGTTTCTCTCAAATGTGATCGCTAAAATGTGATCAACAACATTGAAAAGATGGAGGAAATCCAAAAATTATGTGAAATATTGAAGACAAAAAGCTCTTTCTGAGCCCTGTCCTCAGGGGTGTGAGGCACACTGGCGTCAAATCTCCTTTGAGGTTTCAGAAGGCACTGTGGAGAGGACATGCCCAGCATCAATGGGATATCTCAATGATCATAGTACGCAGGAATAATATGATTTTAAAGGAAACAGAGAAGCTTGAGATTTTCACACGTAAATATTAACCATAGACACCCGATCACACAGCTTTCAGGGCTAAAGTTGCTTTCAAATGAGAGCACTGATGGATCACTTACCTTCTCGGGTCTTTATGTCATTTTTTTTTCAAGTAAATCAATTTTATTCTACCACTATATTTTTAAACCCACTCTGAAAAATCGTATAAATTACAATTTTCATTTGTCATGATAAATTTGTACCAATATATTATTTTGCCTATTGGAAAAGCAAGAATTTCACAAAACAGCTGAGAATTGTCAATTTAGCTTATATAACTTGCTCAAAAATGTTTCTAACTCTCAACTTTTCAACGTATGTATCTAAAATTTTTATTGTTATGTTAGAGCAGTTCAAATAGAAAAATACATAGAATAAGGTAATAGACATCCTTGTACTCTATCAGTACATAGAATAAGGTAATAGACATCCCTGTGCTCTATCGTACATAGAATAAGGTAATAGACATCCCTGTACTCTATCAGTACGTAGAATATGGTAATAGACTTATCGGTACTCTATCAGTACATAGAATAAGGTACTACACATCCCTGTACTCTATCAGTACATAGAATAAGGTACTAGACATCCCTGTACTCTATCAGTACATAGAATATGGTAATAGACATCCCTGTACTCTATCAATACATAGAATATGGTAATAGACATCCCTGTACTCTGTAAGTGCATAGAATAAGCTAATCGTCATTCCTGTACTCCATTGGTACATAGAATAATAGGCATCCCTGTACTCTATCAGTACATAGTTTAAGGTAATACACTTCCCTGTACTGTATCAGGTTTCAACACACGTTAATACTTTGATTTGTTTCACATCTTTCCTAAAAAGTAAAAAAATCACAGAAAAAAATTTTCTGATTGTTTCATTTTGGAATTTCCTTTTTAAAAACAGTTAGATGCTGTTTATTGGATAGACATTAGATTTGGTGAAATGATTACAAAAATTTAGTTAGCACACCATGGGCTTCACCTAGGTATCACTCTGTTTTGTTTTGTTCTGTTTTGTGGTGAGAACATTTAAGTAAATAACATCTTTAAAGCAAGAAAATGAGCAGGAGAATGGCTATTCCCAAGGGAGATAGCTCTGGAAAGGTGTTTCTGTTTGTCTTGGACAGCAGAATCTATGAGAGAAAAAGAGAGCACTGTTTGAAGACTTTCCAGTGCTCCTGCGTGTTACGCTGTGTTGAATGTTGCAGTCTCCGCAGCACGAAATTTATTTCTGGGCTGAAACCCAAGAGTTCAACTGTGGGCAGTGTGTTCTCACAACTTATTGCATCAGTTGTTCACTCAGGTTGTCAAGGTTTGCAAAATGTTCCTTAAAGTAACTAACAGACCATCCTCCGTGATCAGTTAAAGCTCCCCTCAGCCCACACTCTCTTATGTCTAGAGACCACAAGTTTCTGTCCCACTGAGGCAACCGAGAAGGTGCAGCCCTGTACGTCAGCCTCAGCCTGAAGGATGAGCCCCCTCAGCTTCCAGCCCATCGACCTCAGCATCTCCGTGGCCCTTCTCTGACTTGACTTGTGATGGTGAATGCCAGGGTAGCAGAGGCCCCGGGAGTCCTTGCCCCTGACAAAGGCACAGGCAGAGTTAGAAGGAGGCAGGCCAAGTATTGGTGGGTGTCTAGGATCAGTCAAGTCTTTGGCCTTTCAAGAAGCCAAGGCTAAACTGGGGATTGAAACTCAGCAAGAACATCCCCAGAGCTGACCTCACACCTGGCATTTTTATTACTTGTTTCTTCCTATTTTCTGCTGGGCTGTTGATTGTTACTTACCACCATGTGTCTGACCTTCAGCTTCTTCAGTTTCCCTGTCTTGTGACCCCCCACCTGTGTTATTTACCTTTCTACTCTGAGCTCCAACACAGCAGGCACCTCGACTCCTCGACTGTTGTGTGCCAGTGATTTCTGGTGTTTGGCAGGTAGCAGATGCTCAGCCATTTATAAAAGACGAGGTGGAAGGAACAAAAAGGGGTGAGGAGGAAGAAAAGGAGCAAAGAATGAAGTAAGGAAGTGTCCTCGGGCAGTCTTCATTGCTATAAAGAAATATTTGTGTCTGGGTCATTTATGGAGGAAAGAAGTCTAACTGGCTAACGGTTCTGCAGGCTGTACAGGAAGCATGGCACCAACACCTGCTCAGCTTCTGGTGAGGCGTCGGGAAGCTTCCGATCATGGCATAAAGCAAAGCAGGGGCAAGGGAGAAAAAAGTGCCACACGTTTGTAAACAAGCAGGTCTCAGGAGAACTCACTCAGTGTCCTGAGGACAAGACCAAGTTATTTATGAGGGATTTGCTCCCATGATCCAAGCACCTCCCACCAGTCCCCATCTCCAACACTGGGGATCAGATTTCACCATGGGACTTGGTGGAGACAAATATCCAAACCAAATCAGGAAATAACAGAAATAAGGAAAGAGGAAGAAAATGAATAGTCCTTGTTCAGGTAATACTTGACACAGTCACCATTCATAGAGTAGTTTCCAGTATTTCCATATTCTTGCAAATAGTTTCACTTACCATTGGAGTGAGAATCAGATGAAGATGTGGGCCGGGCGCAGTGGCTCACACCTGTAATTACAGTACTTTGGGAGGCTGAAGCAGTCGGATCACGAGGTCAGGAGATCGAGACCAGCTTGGCCAACATGGTGAAACCCCGTCTCCACTAAAAATACAAAAATTAGCTGGGCGTGATGGTGCTCACCTGTAGTCCCAGCTACTAGGAAGGCTGAGGCAGGAGAATTGCTGGAATCTAGGAGGCAGAGGTTGCAGTGAGCTGAGATTGCACCACTGCGTTCCAGCCTGCGAGACAGAGACCCCATCTCCAAAAAAAAAATAATAGTAAATAAATAAAATACAGATGTGCATTTAATTCTTCCTAGATATCAAAATTAGGAGCAGGAATAAACACTACTCAACATTTTTAGTAGATAATCGAAAAAATACCTCTCACTATGTATTGCAGGAATATTTTTCACATTCAAATTCTGACATCAGTTGGCTACGGAAGTTTGCCTGACTAAACTGAACTGCTTACGATTTTGGGTGAAAGAGAATGGCTTGAGGACTGTTTGAGGCTGGAGTAGTTACATCTGCTTGATATGGTTTGAGTCTGTGTCCTCGTCCAAATGTGGAATTGTAATTCCCAGTGTTGGAGATGGCGCCTGGTGGGAGGTAATTAGATCATGATGTGTCTGAAATGTATTCCTTATGGTGGGTTCTTGGTCTCACTGACTTCAAGAATGGAGCTGCAGATGTTTGTGGTGAGTGTTACAGCTCTTCAAGATGGTGTGTCCGGAGTTTGTTTCTCCAGATGTTCAGATATGTCCAGAGTTTCTTCCTTCTGATGGGTTCGTGGTCTTGCTGACTTAAGGAGTGAAGTCGCAGACCTTCGCAGTGAGTGTTACAGCTCTTAAAGGTGGCATGTCCAGAGTTGTTTGTTCCTCCCGGTAGGTTCGTGGTCTCACTGACTTCAGGAATGAAGCTGCAGACCGTCATGGTGAGTGTTATAGCTCATAAAGGTAGTGTAGGCACAAAGAGTGAGCAGTAGCAAGATGTATTGTGAAGAGCGAATGAACAAAGCTCCCACAGCTTGGAAGGGGACTTGAGTAGGTTACCACTGCTGGCTGGGGTGGCCAGCTTTTATTCCCTAATTTATCCCCGCCCATGTCCTGGTGATTGGTCCATTTTACAGAGCGCTGATTGTTCCATTTTATGGAGTGCTGATTGGTGCATTTACAATCCTTTAGCTAGACACAGAGCACTGATTGGTGTGTTTTTACAGAGTGCTGATTGGTGCATTTACAATCCTTTAGCCGTAGAGCGCTGATTGGTGCGTTTAGAATCCTTCAGGTAGGCACAGATGGCTGATTGGTGTGTTTAGAATCTTCTAGCTAGACAGAAAAGTTCTCCAAGTCCCCATTCCACCTAGGAAGTCCAGCTGGCTTCACCTCTCAGTGGGGTTGGGTTTCTTCTTTGGTGCTGTTCTCACAAGAGTGAGTGATTTCCCACAGCATCTAGTTGTTTAAAGTGTGTGGCACCTCCCGCCTCCCTCTCTTCCTCCTGCTCTGGCCATGCAAGACAAACCTGCTTCCCCTTCGCCTTCCTCCGTGATTGTAAGTTTCCTGAGGCCTCCCCAGCCATGCTTCCTGTATAGCTTGGGGAACCGTGAGCCAATTCAGTTTCTTTTCTTCATAATGTACCCAGTTCCAGGTATTTCTTTATAGCAGTATGAAAATGGACAAATACACTGCTCTAGAAAGCCACGTTTCATTGCTTCTGGCTAAGTGGGGACAACCTTGGCTGGTTTGTGAATCACTTCTTTTAGCCGGCCAGCAAGATAAGACAATTGAGTCAGCTTAGTGCATTTCTAGTGAGGGAAATAAAATGAGCTGCATGCTCCAAGTTGATTTGGTGTAGGAGATGCATTCATATATAAGTGCTAAGGATGCGGTAGCACTTAATATGTAAAACCTTTGCAAAGTTTTCCCACAATAAGCAATAGCCACAGAATTAGATTAACTGTTCAATAAGTTATTAGGTGCCTACAGGAAACTCCCATGGCATAAGACAAAACACCATTTTTATAATATTAATGAAAAATAGGGCAGAGGGGAGTGAGGTGGACTTATTTTGAATACCAGCATAACACCATAGGGCGCTACATGAATAGGTAATCTATCTTGCAAATTAGAGATAAACATTTAGTTTTTAATTTATATGTCTGGAAGTCCGGGAGAGGACTTAAAACAGTGCCACAATCTCTGTTGATAGCTCCCAAATCAGCTAAATTCAGTAACTAATTAACTTTGCATTAGCAGTTTGAAAAATGGGCCACTAACCAATTCTGTAGGAATGAGGTAGGCTGTTCATTAAAAGTTGCAAATTGAAATTCCCTTAAAATATCTTATGAACAAGGATTCTTGAAAGCAGTGGAGGTCACACGCTCCCCTCACAATCGCTGAGTGCAGTGTGCAAGCCCTTCTCATGATGAACATGGGCCCAGGTGAAAGAAGGAAGGCAAGTGTGCTTGTACCGCGTTACTCGCCTTCCAGACCTGCTTGTCCTTGGTCAAAAAAGTGACATAGATCATGGATGCTGCAAGGAGGAAGGCAGATGGCAAGGACAGTGTTACTACTGGTGTTTGCCTTTGACTTTCACAGTACAGACCATATGGCTTCAGCTGAGCTCAGAGGAAAAATGTCTCAGAGCTCCCCAGAAAGCATAAGCCATTTTTATATACATAATATAAAGTATATATGTGTATATATATATAATATATATAATTTCTCTATGTGTGTGTACGTATATACACACAAGTACACACAAGCAACATATGTATACATATACGTATATGTATATGTACACATAGACCCACATCTTACATATATACATATATACACAAACATATACACACATACACACACGTACACATATGCACACACACATGCACACAGTGTGCACGTGTGTGCACCACAGATTTCACAAACACACCTGTTACATGGAGGAAAGATATGCATGTAGGTCCCATTCTCTCTCAAATTCGTGACAGCAGTTTCTTTTTTTTACAGTGTATGCATATAGGGATCAACATACTTGACCTCTAATGTCCTGACCCATTTGCGTGCTGAAGAACACGCTTCATATTCTGATGTTAGCTACACAACATTCAGCCTCTTACCTCCTGTACACTCCAGTGTTATTTGTTGGATGGATGTGTTGTGTAGGGGACTGGACTGATCTCTGATATCCCTGTATATCATTTTTTGTAAATCTGCTGTGTGGATGGTGGCAAGTGATTTGCTCATCTGCACATCGGGTTACACTTACTGGTTCTGCCTAATTCACAAGAGGGCTTGGAGACTCAGACACACAGTAGCAGCATTAGAGCTCTGACACCTATAGCGCTGTGCAACCTAAAGCATTTCCAAAGTCACCCTTACAGGCCATATTTAAATCTTGGAGACCACATGTCAGCATGGCTCTGTTGGTTTTGTCTACTGTCAGAAATAAAATAAGCACTAAAGAGACCATCACTTCCTTCCCCTGATGCCTAGTAAGAAGAGTTGCCTAATATTTTTTACTTTGAGTAGGTAAATTTATTCTCCTCTTTTTAAAGTTTTTGAAAGTGAGTCTTTTACCTTTCTAGTGTAGACACTTGTGTTATCCTGAAACTGACGTCTGTGCTGACAGTGACTTTCAGGGGCCATCCGCATGGTGTGGTGATTAGAAACCAAGGCTCCATCCCATTCTGGAACAAGTGGACTGTGTTATCTTAGGCCATCCCGTGTTTTGGCTGTTGGTTTTGTTAGCATTAAAATTAAGTTGTAGAAATAAATGATCTCAGATGTTATTCCAGCTCTAAAATTATATGATGCTGCTAGTTTTAAACAATGGATCTGTTTGCCAGAATTAACTGCTGCTTCAGAAAAATCTTCAGCCTTCCATGTGTAATAATTCTCATCAAAGTTCAAATAGCTCCTTTGTTAATATTGCTTGAATGTCTATGGAAAAGTAGAATGCACTCAACATTTGTGACTTCAAGGAGATTCCAAGCCCCCCACTGACTTGCTAATGATGAGTGATGAGAGGTTTTGATCCGTGTACTGGACTTGTCTTTACGTTCCTGCCATGAGCTACCTCACCCCAGGCAAGCCATGCAAACCACTTTGCAGCTTGTTTGCACCTTAAACTTTTTTTGCAAGAATTCATTCTAAAGACATTTTTGTGAAATAGGTCAGACTTTGTAGTCCCATCTCATGGAAAAATTAAATGCCCAAGGGACACCTTTCCCCTGAGATTCACACTTTCAGTGGAAATCAGAACCAAAAATAAAACATCAAATGAATGATCTTCATCCAAACCAAAGGTCAAGAGCACCTAAGTCCACCAAGGGGGCCGCCCAAATCCCCAGTGCTGACAGCAGATTTTACCATGAAGCCCCAGCAAAGTACTGTCAGGAGAAACAAAGTGTCATAAAATGATCGTTGCAACAGGTTTTTAAGAGGTTCTTTTTATCTTGTATCCACTTTTTCTACAAACTAATTTAATTTTGATTAAAACAAAGTAAAATCTCTTAGTACATAAAGTGTTTAATAAGCAAGGCCATTAAATATTATGATCCTTCTCTTCAGTTTATATCCACATGGCCTTTCATTGCATTCTACTAGAAAAAAATACAGTAATTCTGTGATATATTTTCTTGAAATAAGACCAAGCTTTCAGATATCTACTTCGTTTCCTCTCAAAAGCAACAGCAAAATGCTTTTGTCTGTGTTACTCATTTTTACAGCTAACAAGATGATTTGCATGTCAGTTGATCCTTCAGTATTTATATTTTTTTTTATTTTGCCTATTTGGAATGTAACAGTTCTGATGAATTTGCCATAAATTAGATAGTGAAGGAATAAAGGCATCTAACTTATCAATACCTCAGATTTTAACAGATTTTCCAAAAAAAATGCAGATACAGAGTTAAGATTCATTTTCTGTTTTCAGAGAATGAAAGAGAAAAAGGAAAAGGAAAGACAAATGTGGAAGATATTATAAACTATAGTTTTAAGCCTATAATATGTGCTGAATTACAGTTTAAATCCTTGTGTGATAACCGTCTAGCTTAGTGTTCATAAAATGATAGAAGGAGTTTAACAGAAAGAGAAATTAATTTCAGTTATAAGAAGAGCTTATCCACTTCAGAGAGAGATATCTTGAAGCAACAGCGTGGGTAGTTAAATATATGTTAAAAGCAAGGAAGGCAATGTAGCATCTCCCGGCGTTAATACTCTGGTCTGCCTGACAGGGAATATTATAATAATACAGAATCAATGAAAAATAAGGGCCCAACAGATTCAGCACCTTCTTGGTGACCAAATTGTCTCAGTGCAGTGACTCCATGCAACGTTTAACACGTGAGCAAGGTCTTGAGGGGAAAAGGAAGTGTTCAGAAAATGGTGATTTCACGTAAGTTACGAAGGCAGCCTGATTCACATAACTCACTTGTGTAATTTAACCTCTGAGAGTAAACTTATCTACGCAGTTGGAAGTACCCCGGTACTTACTTATACCATGCCTGTCATGCCAGTGCTTCTGAGTGCGTCTGAGGAAAAAAAAATAGAAGTTTATCAACAACTAGAGTGTTGAGAAATAATAAATACTTTAAAACATACTGAAAGTGGGACATCCTGACAATGAAATATTACTCAGTACTGAAAGGAAATAATCTATCAAGCCATATACAAACATAAAAGAAACTTAAATATATTTAAGTAGCCAATAGGAAAAGGCTCCATACTGTGTGATTCCAATTCGATGATATTCTGGAAAAGGCAAAACTACAGTGACAGGAAAAAGATCATGTTTGCCAGGGGTAGAGTAAGGAGAGGGATGAATAGGTGGAGGATTTTTCAGGGCAGTGAAATATCCTGTATGATATTACAGTGGTGGGTACATGTTATCATACATGTGTCAAAACCCATTGAATGTACAATACCAAGAGTGAACCCTATGGTAAACTGTGAATTTCAGATGACAAAGAAATGTCAAAGTAGGTGATAGTGCCAAATGCACGGCTCTAGTGGGAATGTGGCCGTGGGTAGGCTGTGCTTGTGTGGGATCCGGAGGCATATGGTAACACTCCGTACTTTCTCTTAATTTTGCTGTGAACTTAAAACTAATATATTTATGTTTTATATATTTTTATTTTATAATTTTCACATATATATGAAGCTCACAAACACATACATACGGATAGATAGATAGATAGGTAGAGATGTAGATTTACTTATTAGAATATAGACATCCAGGCTTCATTGCTATTTACATTATATTATTTAAGGCATTAGCAGTTCTACAATTTAGCCCATCTTCACAGTAGAATTTTTTTAGGCCTTCAATTCACATGTTTAGTAGACTCTGCTCAATGAGAAAATAATTAGAAAGGTTCTGCAAAAATAAGACATATCCTGTGAGTTGAATGATTGCAAAAAGCATCTACTATTTTAAAACACTGTTTTAATAGTTCGGAATTCGTCTATTTGTTTATTGACAACTTAAAATGTACCCTGTACTGTTTTTGCATGAATGATCTTGAAATGACCTGAACAGAATAAAACCTGTGCGTTCCCGGACCATTCATTCAGCCTACGCTGTTAGATAAGGTGCAAAATAGTAAAACATATACTAAGCTAGATTGCAGTAAATGCTCTGGAGCAAAATAAAGAACAGTAAAGGGATAGGGAGTGCTGTGATAAGTAGGTATAAGTTTAAATAAGCCAGTCATGAAAGGCCCTACTGAGGAAGTTATATTTATGTGAAAAGAGGATAGCAGATAGGCAACAAGCAATTGGATATAGATGTGGATGAAAAACCATCCCAGCAGTAAATGCAGGCAATGCAATGTCTAGAAGATAAGGGTTTGCAGACCAGCAAGAAAGGTCATGCAGCTGAGCAAAGTGAGCGAGTTGAACATTGTCGGACACAAGGTCAAAAGGTGGCAGGTGAGCTTTATAGATACTGTGGTTGCTGATAGCTATGGTTGTTGAAAGAGTTTTGACTTTTACATAGAATGAGACAGGAAGCCGTTGGAAAGTTTTGAACGGGACTGAGTAACATATTACTATTTTTAGAAACATCATTCCGAAGAACATCTGCTTTTGGTAAGACAGACTCACTTGTAGAAGAGCAAAACTTATACTGAAAACAGCTCAGGAGGCTGGGTAAATTCAAATAAAAACTTACAAACAAATAATTATCTCATGTTTACAGTTTGTAAAAAATATTTATCTTTAAATTTCTTTATTTTGACCTATTTGCATCTTTGAATGTGAAAGTTGTCTCTTGAAGGTAGTATGTAGCAGGATATTTATTTTTAACTTGTTGCATAGCCTCCGCATGTTCAGTGGAGTGTCCAATTTATTAAGATTTGATATAACTGCTGATCTGATTGGAATTATGCCTACAGTTTTGCTATTTGAATTGCATGTCTTATGTCATTTTTGTTCTTTTCTTCCTTTATTTGTGTTTTCATGTGTTATACGGATATGTTTTAGTGTCACTTTATTTCCTCGGTGGCTTCTTTTAGTCATGTCACTTTATTGTTTTAGTGGTTGCTGTAGGGATTACAATATAATTGTGTAAGTTATCAAAATCTACCACAGGTCAGTAATGACAAGATGTCAGTTCTTCTGTATTTCGTCTGCAGACTCAATGCAATTGTAGTCAAAATCTCAGTGAGTTATTTTGTGGATAGAGGCAAAAGACTCAGGATAACCAACACAATACTGTAGGAGAGCAAAGTTAGGGGAATGACACTGCTCAACCTCAAGGCTTATTATAAAGCTACAGTAATCAAGATAGTATGATTAGGGTGAAAGAATAGACTTAGACAAATAGATGAATGAACAGAATAGAGAACTCAGGAAGAAAACCACATAAATATAAACTGATCTTTGGCAAAGGACCAAGGACATACAGTAGACAAAAAATCGTCTTTTCAACAAATGATGCTAGAACAACTGCACATCCACATAAGAAAGGGTGAGTCTAGACACCTCACACCCTTCACAAAAATCAACTCAAACCATAGACCTAAATATAAAATGTGAAACTTTAAAATTCCTAGACAGAAACAACAAAGACGACCTTAGGATTTGCAATGAGTTTTTAAATATAACAACAAAGACATGATCCATGTAAGAAAAAATCAATAAGCTAGACTTTGTTAAAATTAAAAACTTCTGCTCCATGAAAGAGAACCTCAAGAAAACAAAAAGCCAGAGACTATAAGAAAATATTTTCAAAACGCATATCTTACAAAGCTCTGTTATCTAAAATACACAAAGCACACTTAAAACTCACGAACAATAAAACAAGCAACCTAATTTAAAAATGGGCAAAAGATCTGAACAGACACTTCATCAAAATGTCCAAATGAGAATAAGCATATGAAAAGATGTTTTCCATAGTATCTCATGAGGAAAATGCAAATTCAAACAATGAGATGCCACCATACACATATTGGAATGACCCAAAACCTTGAACACTTACAACACCAAATGCTGGCAGGGATGCAGAACAATATGAACTTTCATTCATTGCCAGTGGGAATGCGAAACATTATAGCCACTTATTAAGATATTTTGGTTGTTTGTAACATAAGACTACTAGCCATACTCTCACCATATAATCCGATAATTGTCCTCCTCCTTATTGACTCTAAAAAAGTGAAGAGGCTGCATGCTGTGTAATTCCAACTGCATGACACTCTGAGAAAGGCAAAGCTATAGGGACAGGAAAAGTTTCACTGGTTGCCTGGGGCTGGGGGCAGGGAGAGATACATAGATGGAGTACAGAGAACTTTTAGGACAGTAAAAATACACTTTATTATACTATAATGGTGGATACATGCAAGTATATATTTGTCAAAACCTGCAGAATGTCCAACAGCATGAGTGAGCCCTAATGTAAACTGTAGATTTTGGATAATAAAGAAGTGTCAGGGTAGATTCATCAATTGCAAAAAAATATACTTCTTTGGTAGGGAATGTTCATAACCAGGGAGGCTGTGTATGTGGGGACAGCAGGTACGTGGGAAATCTCTGTACCCTCAAAGTAATTTTGATATAAACATAAAACTACTTTAAGAAATCTTTTAAATAAATATATAAATAAATTTAAAATAAGTACAAAACATCTACAAGTTAAAAGTGGGTTATATTCTGGTGAAATAGAGCAACTTTGTTTCAATATAGATCTACCCTTTCCCGTTTATTTCGTACTGTTTTCATATATGTCACGTTCGTACACATACACACTTAGATGATTAAAATCCAAAAATGTGCTGTTTTAATTGTTTTAAATCTTGTATTTCAAAAAATATATAAAGAAAAGAGTAAAAGTATTAATGCAGATGTTATTACTTCTGGTGTTCTTCATTTTTTCCTGTGAAATTGTTTTATAATTTAGAGTCATTTTCCTTTCCATAGGAGGAACTTCCATTTGTAGTTTTTCTAGAATGGCTATGCTAGCAATGGATTATCTTAATGTTTGTTGGCCCCAAAATTTATTTTATTTACCATCATTTTAGAAAACTATTTTTAATGGACATAGAGTTCTTGCCAAATGTTTTATTTATTTATTTATTTTTTTGTCAGCACTTTGAGTAAGTCATCGTGAGGCCTTCTGGTCTCCATTGTTTCTGATGAAAAGTCAGCTGTTATTCTTATTGCTGTTTATCTTTAGGTCATAATAATTTTTCTTTTGCCATTTTTAGTATTTTCGTCTTTCAGCAATTTGACTACATTTTATGTAGATGTAACTCTCTTTCTGTTAATTTTATTTCGGGTCATTGACCTTCAAGATATGCAATTGCTTTTTATTCATATGTGTAAATTTTCCAGTCAGCCTTTCTTTGAATATGTATTCTTCCTCATTCTGTTTCTCCTCCCCTTTAAAAATTATTTTTTTTTATTTTATGGGTACATAGTAGATGCATATATATATGAAGTACATTAAGTATTTTGATACAGGCATACAATGTGTAAAAGTCACATTGGGGTATATGGGGATCCATCACCTCTAGCGATCTTCATTTCTTTGTGTTAAAACCTTCCAGTTATATTATTTTAGTTATTTTTAAATTTACAATAAATTATTGTTTACTATAATCACCCTGCTGTGCTATAAAATACTAAACGTTATTTATTCAATCTAATTATATTTTTGTACCCATTAACTTTTCCCACTCCCCCCACCTATTACCTTTCCCAGCCTCTGGTAACCATCATTCTCTCTATTTCCATCAGTTCAATTGTATTAAGTTTTAGAACCCACAAGTGAGTGAGAACATGCAAAGTTTGTCTTACTATGCCTGGCATGTTTTACTTAACATAATTTCCTCCAGTTTCATCTGTATTATCACAAATAACTGGAGCTCATTTTTTAAGTAGCTGAATAGGTACCCCATTGTCTATAGGTACCATATTTTCTTTATCCATTAATCTGTTGATGGATACTTAGGTTTCATCCAAATCATGGCTATTGTGAATAGTGCTGCAATGAACTTGGGAATGCAGATAACTCTTCAACATACTGATTTCATTTCCTTTGGATAAATACCCAGTAGTAGAATTGTTGGATCTTGTGGTGGTTCAATCTATAGTTTTTAAGGAATCTTAATAACAGCTGCACCATTTTGCATCCCCAGCAGCAGTGTACAAGGGTTCCCCATTTGTCCACATCCTCACCAGCATTCAATATTGCCTTTCTTTTGGATAAAAGCAATTTTTACTGGGAGGAGATGATATATTATTATAGTTTTGATTTGCATTTCTCTGGTGATCAGTGATGTTGACCACATTTTCATATACCTGTTTGCCATTTGAATGCCTTTTTTGAGAAATGTCTATTTAGACCTTTTGCTCATTTTTATATTGCATAATTAGTTTTTTTCCTATTGAGTTGTTTAAGCTGCTTATATATCCGGGTTATTGTTTTCTTACTGGATGGGTAGTTTGTACATATTTTCTCCCATTCTGTAGGTGATCTCTTTACTTTGTTGATTGTTTTCTTTGCTATGCAAAAGATTTTGAACTTGACGTGATCACAATTGTCCATTTTTGATTTGTCTGTGCTCTGGGGATATTACTCAAGAAATCTTTGCCAAGCATGCTGGCTCATGCCTATAATCTCATCACTTTGGAAGGCCAAGGTGGACAGATCACCTGGAGTTCGAGCCCAGCCTGGCCAACATGGCAAAACCCTGTCTCTATTAAAAATACAAAAATTAGCCAGGCATGGTGGCCTGTGCCTGTAATCCCAGCTGCTTGGGAGGCTGAGGTAGGAGAATCACTTGAGCCTGGGAGGTGAGGTTGCAGTGAGCTGTGTTCATGCCACTGCACTCCAGACTGGATGACAGAGCAAGACTGTGTCTCAAAAAATAAAAGAAATCTTTGTCAATACCAATGGCCTGAGAGCATCCTCAATCTTTTATTTTAGTACTTTCATAGTTTGAGATACTATATTTAAGTTTTTAATACACTTTGATTTGATTTTTGTATATGGAGAGAGATAGGGGTCTAGTTTTATCCTTTTGCAACTGAGTATCCAGTTTTCCCAGCACCATTTATTGAAGAGACTGTCCTTTCCCCAATGTGTGTCTTTGGCATATTTGTCAAAAATGAGTTCATTGTAGGTATATAGGTTTATTTCTGGATTCTCTTTTCTGTGGGTTGAAGTGTCTGATTTTATGCCAGTACCATGCTGTTTTGGTTATTATACTCTGTAATATAATTTGAAGTCAGGTAATGTAATTCTTTCTGGCCAGAATGGCTGAGGGTAGTCTAGGTCTTTGTGGTTTCACATAAATTTTTGGATATTTTTCTACCTCTGTGAAGAATGTCCTTGATATTTTGACTGGAATTGCATTAAATCTGTAGACTTCTCTGGGTAGTATGGACATTTTAACAATATTGATTCTTCCAACCCATAAATATGAAATATCTTTCCATTTTTTGTGTCCTCTTTAATTTCTTGCATCAATTTTTATAATTTTCATTGTAGAAATTTTTCATTTTTTTGATTAGGTTAATTCCTAGATATTTTATTTTTGGCTATTGTAAATGGGATGATTTGATTTCTTTTTTTAGATTATTTGCAGTTGGAATATAGAAATGCTACTGATTTTTGCATGCTGATTTTTTGTCCTGCAAATCTACCATATTTGTTTATCAGTTCTAATAGTTGTTTTTTTTTTTTTTTTTTTTTTTTGGGGAACTCTTTAGATTTTTCTAAATACAATATCACATAATGTGCTGAAAAATAATGTGATTTCTTCCATTTTAATTCAGTTGCACTTTATTTCTTTCTCTTCTCTGATTGCTCTATCTAGGACTTCTAATATTATGTTGAGTAACAGTGGTTAAAGTTGGCATCCTTGTCTAATTCCAGATTTTAGAGAAAAGGCTTTTAATTTTCCCTTTTAGTATAATACTAGCTGTAGATCTGTCATATATGGCTTTTATTGTATTGAAGTATCTTCCTTCTACCATTTTTGAGTTGTTTTTATCATGAAGGTATGTTGGAATTTATCAAATGCTTTTTCAGCGTCAACTGAAATGATTTTAAGGCTTCTATCCTTTATAATGTTGATATGATGTATTGCATTGATTGATTTGCTTATGCTGAACCATCCTTGCATCTCTGGAATAAATTCCGCTTCGTCATGATATATGATCTTTTTAATGCACTGTTGAAGTCAGTTTGCTAGTACTTTGTTGATGATTTTGGCATCAATATTCATCAGGAATATGGTCTGCAGTTTTCTTAATACGTCTTTTTTGGTTTGAGAATCAGGATAATACTGGTCTCGTAGCAGGAGTTTGGAAGTATTTCCTCCTCTATTTTTTTGAAATTTTTTGAGTAGGATTGCTATGAATTCTTTAAGTGTGTGGTAGACTTCAGCAGTGAAGCCACTGGGTCCCAGACTTTTCTTTGCTGGGAGACTTACTATTATGGCTTTGATCTCATTACATGTCGTTGGTCTATTTAGACTGTGGAGTTCTTCATGATTCAATCTTGGTAGGTTGTATGTGTCTAGAAATTTATTCCTTTATTTAGGTTTTCCAATTTATTGGCATATAGTTTATTGTAGTCTCTAATGATCCTCTGGCTTTTTGCAGTATCAGTTGTAATGCCTATTTTTTCATCTCTGATTTTGAGTTTTCTCTCTTTTTATCCTAGTCTGGCTAAAGGTTTGTCAATTTGTTTAACTTTTCAAAAAAGCAACTTTTCATTTTATTAACAAAGCAAAAAATATAAATGCTGGGTGCATATATATTTACAAGTGTTATATTTTCTTTCTCAGTTGATGCTTTTATCATTATATAATGACCTTCTAGGTTTCTTTTTAGATTTTTTCTTTTGAAGCCCATTGTGTTACAAGTATAGCTAATCCTGCTTTTTTTGTTTCTATTTGCATGGAATATTTTCTTTCATCTCTTTATTTTTTGGCTGCTTGTATATATCTATGGGTGAAATGTGTTTCTTGTAGACAACATATCATCGGGTTTTGTATTTTTTTAATACATCCTGCCACTCTATCTTTTGATCAGAGTTCAATTCATTTACATTTAGTGCTATTATTGATAGGTAAATATTACTTATCAATAATACTTATTTTTTATTATTTGCTTCCGGGTTGTTTTGTGGTCGTCTTCCTTCTTTGCATCTCGTCTTCTTTTTTGTGATGGTGGTTTGCTCTGCTAGTATGTTTTCATTTACTGCTTTTTATTTTTGGTGTTACTGTTGTAGGTTTTAAATTTGAGGTTACTACGGGGCTTGCAAATAACATCTTAAAACCCATTATTTCAAACTGATGACAACTTAACACTGATTGCAAAAACCAATAAACTAATAAAGAGAATTAACAAACGTTCTACATTTTTACTTCATCCCTCTGGCTGTTTAAATTTGTGTTCTATTTGTATCTTATATTGTCTGTCTTGAGAAGTTATTATTTTTAATATGTTCATTATTTAGTCTTTCTACTCAAGGTTTGAGTAGTGTGCACACCACAACTGTAGAGTTATCATACTCTCAGTTTGTCTGTGTACTTACTTTTACCAGTGAGTTTTGTACCATCAGACGATTTCTGAATTTTAGCTTGGAAAGTCATGGGTTTACATTCCCAACTCAAATAGTTTACCACATCTAATACCAAATCTTATCCTAGACAAATTGACATCTGTAATCGATAGAGCTGGGCATGGCAAGGCCTCTGATTCTCACCATTCTTAAGACTTTTCTTTGGCCTAACATATGGCCTTAGTGAAAAATCTAGTCATTCTTTCAAAACTAAATGCTTCTGAATTTGAGTCTTCCTCTGGTTGATTTCCAGAGCCATGGAATTGTTGTTTTTTATCTTTGTTTTTTTTTGCTTTAGTGCTTTATAACAATTATTTCATAGAAGGTGGTAGAGACATTGGAATATTATATCTATGATAGAAGGATGAACTTAAAGTAATGATTTATGTGAAAGGTGCAAATTTAATGACTAAGTAATAACACTGAAAATGGGAAAATAAATTACAACTACAAGCTTGTTGTGGCATAATTTTAAAAAAGTGCTTAGTAAGAAAGGTGAGAAAAACAAGAGTAGTTGGGATGAAAAATAAACATTAAAATATTTATAATGTGTAATATTCCAGTGATAAAAATGGAATAGGCACTCAAAGGACAGATATTGTCTAAATGTTGTTTAATAAGCATATTAGATTAATAAAATCAGAAGATAAGATACAATATAAAAATCACCAAGGTAAAAAGTTGATTCTTTGAAAACTAATAAAAATCAATCAACCCTAGCCACGGTGATAAAGAGATAAAGCACAAGTTAATATTTATGATTTAACAGTGGATTACAAAAAAACCCTGCCATTTTTGCAGACTTTAAAAAATAAGAAAATATGCCAAATAATTACAAATTTAAAGATAAAATAGACAAATTCATAGAAAAAACATACTTTTACAAGCACAAAAAGAAATAGAAAAATCGGAACATTTCTACACTTATTCAAGATCTTGAAACTGTACTAAAAACTTCCCACAAAGAAATCTGCAAGACCAGATGGCTTCACTAGTGAGTCCATCCAAATGTTTAAGAAGGAAATAACATTCTTTTTCAAACTCCTTTACAAAAATTACAACGAAAAAAGAAGGGGAGATATTTTCAACTTCTTTTATGAAACATCATATCTGTGAACACCATAATATTATAAGGACATGAAAAGGTAGGAAAACCAGAAGCTATAAACCAATTGTCCTCATGAAAACAGATTTTAAAATAAACAATAATAGCAAATTGAATTTATCAGTATATAAAGAGGATGCTGAATCATAATCATGTAGCTTATTTGTGAAAGCATTTATTTTTATTCTTTTAAATACTTGGTAATCACTTGATTTATATTTTCTTACTAAATAAAAAAGCAAAATTTAAGGTCGTCTCAGTGGATGCCAAAAAAAGCATATGAAAAAGTCAACAGCTAGCAACTATAAACACATTGACAAGCTAGGAGGCGGAGGGGACTTCCTTAATCATAAATTATTAAAAATGTTTATTCTGAGGTCTGGATTGAAACAAGGATGTCTCCTCGCACCATTTCTATCCAGCATTGTATGAAAGTCACAGCCAGAAAAATAAACCATGCGAAAAAAGAATGAAATCACAGTGATTTGAAGGTAAGAACAAAAAATACGATTCTTAGAAAATCTCAAACAATATGGATTCTAAATAAATTGAAACTATACATTTAGCAGAAACTAAATATAAGGTCAGCTTAAGTATTGTATTTCTGTGTAAATATTGTATTTCTATAATAAGCAATTAGAAAATGAAATTTTAAACTATTTATAACGTAAAGCACCAAGTAACTGATACTAACAAAGATGTGCATATTCTATAAGCAGAAAACTACAAAACACAGTGAACATGAATTAAAGTCTACATAGAGAAACTTCTTTGACTGGAAGACTCAATGTCAACAGAACTTCACTTAATATGAAAAGTTCTGCACCTATTGATCAAAACATTTGATGCAACTCTAATGAAAATACCAGAAGGTAGTTTGCCTGTTTGTTTGTTTATTTATTGTCATTGGCATACTGACTCTAAAATTCATATGTGGGCTCAAAGGGTCAAGAGTAACTAAAATAACCTTATATGACAATAACAAAATCAAAGGGTTTATGGTACCAAATGTCAAGACTTATAATATTGGTAGAATCATTAAAACCACTGAGCATTGATTGAGCATTAGGTAAACAGACAGATAGAATAGGAAGCCCAGAACCAAACTCCCAAATGTTCTGTAATTTGATTTATGACAATGATTGTGCTACAGTGATGTGCAGAAAGGACATTTTTGTAACAAATGATGCTAGGCCCATTGGATATTAATTTTCAAAAATCTTGACACATCAAATTATACATAAAATCTATTCCAGTTCCATGTATTTTATGAAATTAGCATTGACACAGATTTCTTAAACAGGAGAAAAAATAAAAGGACTAACCTAAAGAGAACTACCTATGAATTACACTAAAGTGATACTTTTTATCATAAAATGATTTTATTAAGGGAGTGAAAATTCATTCCACAGAATGAGAGGTGATACTAGTAATTCTTAATAAAACCATTCAGAAGCAGAATATATAAAGAATTCCTCCTGCAGACCCCCATAAGCAACAAATCACCCAATAGAAGTAAAAGCAGAACAAGATTTACAAAAAGCCAACACAATCATAAAAGTGCTGACTTTTTAAATTATTGGAGTCATAGAAATTAAGACCTACCAGAGTGGCTTAAAATTAAATACTGAACACATCAAGTGTTCATGAGTGTGAGAAGCAACTACTGATGGGAGATAAATTGGCACAAATACATTGGACAACTCCTGCAGTTTCTACAAAACTGAAACTATGTCTACTTTCTAGGCCAACATTCTACTTCTAGAAAATACTGAAAAGAAAACCATGTATTTATTCATCGAAGGATATTATACGTTGTCTGTAACAAAATAATTTAAGTAGCCTAAAACTGGAAAGAAATAAAAGTTGATTTAGTCATTCCATAATGTATGCGTATATCAAAACGATATGTTGTACACCATAAATGTATACAATCTTACTTGCCAGTTAAAAAATAAATTACAAAAATGGTTCATGTAGATGAATAGATTTTGGAGTAGTCATAAAATGGAATCTATCCCTCAGTGAAAAAATAAAACTAACTTCCATTATAATTGAACAACATTGATAAATCTCAGGAATAATTTTGTTCTAAGGAATCCAAATATAAGAGTATACATTTTCTAATTCCATTTATTCAAGGTTCAGACCTGATTTTAAGAAAGCTTACCAATAGCGACAAGTTAGCATAGTCATTACTTTGTGGAGATGCTGGGCCTAACACCTGTTCCGGGAAGCTTGTAACATGTTATTTCTTCCTCTGGGTTATGGTCACACAAGGGTGTTTACCTGGCAAAATCCATCAAGCCAAAATATGTCATATTCAATATACAGTTTACTTTTAAAAGTTTACTGTGGCTACTGAGTTGGCAAAGAGGATGAGAGTAGAGGATGAGAGGTATGCCCTTAAAACAGGTGAGAGTGAAGACAGCCTGGACTAGGGCTGTGTGCTGGAGGCAGTGGGAAAGCTTCAGATCTAGCATCCCTGCTAATGGTTTGGGAGAGAAAGAGGAATCAAGAATGACGCTGGTGTTTGGCCTGAGCAACTTGCAGGATGAATTTCCTTGTATTCAGATGGTGAAGGCTGTAGGAGAAACAGGTTGTGAGTAGAGTATCAGAGAGTTGGTTTGAAGACAGGTTGTTTGGGAGACCTGTATTGAAGATCCAATTGCAGATGTTGTACACACATGTGTGTATGCCAACCTGGAGTTCCAGAGTGTGTCAAATGATATTGACCAGTCAAAATTGATGTGAACTGGAGACTGACCCTGTGCTTTAGAAAGCATCTGTTACTGATGATGTTAACAGGAGCGTTTGTTTGTTTGTTTGTTTGTTTGTTTGTTTCAAGTGGTAGAGGTGACAGCCAGATAGCTATAAATTTAACAGAGTCTGAGAGGAGAGCAATTGAAGATAGATGGGTACAGATGTCTCTATTGACAAGCTTTGCCACAAAGGAGAGAAGGCAAATGCAGAGATGCAGGTCAAGACATCGCTTTTTATTGATCTTTTTTTTAAGATAGGAGACATCACAGCATGTCATTTCTTCCAGGCCTTCTCAGCAGACAGTTAGGAAATGCGCTTGTGTATACTAACTCAGTCATACACCTATGCCTCTTTTCTGTATCATCTTTCTGTGTGTATGCATTTGTGTATATATGCATGTCTTGTGAGGACAGAATCACTAAAATTCTACACCAATGCCCCACGGTTCATTCCAGTATCTCCCCTTTTCTCTCTCTCTCTCTTTTTTTTTTTTTTTTTTTTTTTTTTTTTTGAGACGGAGTCTCACTCTGTCTCCCAGGCTGGAGTGCAGTGGCGTGATCTCAGCTCACTGCAAGCTCTGTCTCCCGGATTCAGGCCATTCTCCTGCCTCAGCCTCGCAAGTAGCTGGGACTACCGGCGGCCGCCCCCACGCCTGGCTAATTCTTTTGTATTTTTAGTAGAGACGGGGTTTCACCATGTTAGCCAGGATAGTATCTATCTCCTGAGCTAGTGATCTACCCGCCTCGGCCTCCCAAAGTGCTGGGATTACAGGCGTGAGCCACTGCACCCCGCCCTCCCCTTTTTTTAGTTGTAAGCTTATTCTCTCACCATAACAAACCCAGTGCTTATTATCTACAATATGTTTATTTGTTGAATTTTACGACAAATATACTTTGAGAATTGTTTATCCGTATCTCTGGGAGAAGCAGATTATCCGCAAGATGACATCCTTAAGGTAAAACAGCCTTTAGCTTTACAATACCCAGTCAAGGTATCCTTTTCAAAGTTAGCCACCCCTTTCAGGGCACTCATATTATTCGTTCAGATAGATTCACTTGTTAATCTTAACACTTTATTTTTGGTTCAGCTCACATGCTAGTGGCTTTTAGTTCTTTGTTTAATTCTGGGTATATGAAGGATACGTGGAACTGTGAAAAGTCAGTGCTATAAGAGACAGATGCATCCCTTTCTCTTCATCCCTACTCCTCCCTCCCGTTTGTACTCACACCTCTCCCGATGACTTTTCCTCCTGCACACTGTAGGTAATCAATCCCCTCCTCATGTATACTTCCTGCATTTCTTTTTGTATAAATGAGCAAATAAATATATACTGTATATGTCCTTTTTTACATAAAGGATAGCATCCTGTAAGTACCCTTTTGTGCTTTGCTTGTTTTATTTAACATTATGTCCTTGTAAAAATCACTTCATATGAGTATATAATTTTATTTTAAACAGCTGAAAAGTGCCCTATTTTGTAGAGGCACCTCAGTTGATGCATAAATTATTAGTTGCTCAAACACCTTCCATATATAGGAATAGAAGATGTTTCCAATATTTTGTAATTCCAAACAATGCTACAAAATATAACCGTGTGCATTTGTATTTCTGTATTGTTGGTGCTGTAGCTTTAGGGTAGATTATTAGAGGTGAGATGGCTGAGTCAAAGGTTAAGTGCAGATGTAGGTAGGTTTTTTGTTTGGTTGGGTTCCCTTAAGTATCTGCAAGTTTTCTTCTAGATGGGTTGAAACATTCTGCATTCTCATTAATAAAGTTTGAGAATGCCTGATTCCTGACAGCGTCACAGCAGAATGGGTTGTTTAATTTTCAATAATTTGTACCAGTCTAACTGGTTAGAAATTATATCTCAGGTTGTTGTAACTTGTTGAGAACTACAAGTGAATATTTTGTTGGTACATTTGAAGGAAATTGTAATCTGTGTTTCTGTGACCTAGTTGTTCGCTGCAGTTTTCCATTTCTCTACGGCGTCTTTAGCCCTTTGCCCCTCAATATGTAAGTGTTCTTCCTGAATTGGGAGTATTAACCCTTTGCCTCTGGTGTATGTGGAGACTGTTTCCTCCCAGAATGAAAGTTGGCTTTTGCTTATGCTTATGATGTTTCTATGATGCACTTATTTTATTTTGTATTTTGGTAAGAACACCTATGAGACCTACCCTCTTAGCATGTTTTCAAGTGTAAAATATAGTATTGTCAACTACATGTACAGTGTTGGACAGCAGACCTTTAGAATTTAATTCATCTTTGCTGGACTGAAACCTTATTCTCCTTGATCAGCAACTTCCCATTTTCCCCCTTCTGTAGCCCCTGACAACCACCATTCACTGTTCGATTTTATGAATTTGACTGTTTTAGATATGTAAGTGAAATTAGGCAGTATTTGCCTTTCTGGCTTATTTAAGTAACTGATGTATTTCACTTAGCATTTCCTCAAGGCTCATCCATGGTGTTGCATATTACAGAATTTCCTTATTTCTTAAGATTGAATATTATTCTATCAAGAGTCCTCAAAAACTAAAAATAGAGCTGTCATATGATCTAGCAATCCCACTTCTGGTATTTATCCAAAATAATTTAAATCGAGATCTTGAAGAAATGTCAGCAAGCCCATGTTCATTGCGGCACCATTCAAAATACCCAAGACAGGGAAGCAACGTAAATGTCTATCAACAGATAAAGAAAATGTGGTGTATATATAGAATGGAATACTTTTTTATTTTTAAAAAAGTTAATTAAGTTCTAACAGCTATTCATTTTTAAAAAAGAAATTTTTGTGTAGCTAATTTTATCCATTTCTTATTAACTGTAGATTACCATTTATTGTTAGAAAGTCATCTCCTACACCAGTGTTAAAGATTGATTCATGTTATTTTGTAGTGCTTGTATAGCTTTGATTTTTGCCTTTATATCCCTAATCTACTTGGAGTTTGTTATTGTTTATTGGCTGAGATTTGATGGAACATTATATTTTTGCAAACGACTACCCACTTGTCCAAACACCATACATTGAAGATTTCATCTTTACCTCTGTGATTTGAGATAAGATTTTGGCCATATTCTGTGTTTCCAAAAGTATTTGGGTCTGACTCTGGACTTTCTCTTCAATTCTACTTGTATATTTGTCTATTCATGAATCAGTGCCATGATATTTAAATACTGGAGACTTTAAAATATGTTCGACTCTCTGACAGGGTTGGTTCCCACTCATAGATTTTTCTTTTTCATTGTGCACCTAGCCATTCTTTCATGTTTGTTTTTCCATAGGAACTTCTGCATCAAATTATCTAACTTCATAAAATAGCTTGTAGAGTTTTCTATTGGGATTGTATTGAAATTAATTGAGCTTACAGAAAATTGACATATTTATAATGTTGAGTCCTTTTCTCCTAGAATAAGGGATAGCCTTCCATTTCTTCACATCTCTTGTCTTGCAAGAACTATTTTTATATTTACCTTGTAAAAGATTTTTTATATTTGTTGTTAAGTTTATTTCTAGGTTTTACTCATCTTTATTGCTATGTTAAATATATATTTTCTCTCCCGTTATGTTCTCTGTATATGTTTATTTTTATGAGGGCTGTGGGGTTTTGTATGCTAATTTTATAGTCTGTTATTTCACTGAATTATTTTAGTGTTTTGTAAGTTTTATTATATATTCTTTGGGATTTTCTAGGTATACCATCCTATCATCTGCAATACAGGTAGCTGTATGCTTTCTTTATACATTCTTATGTTTCTAATTGGCTTATTTTATTCAATTGTACTGGCTAATGCCTTCAGTATCAAATTGAATCATCTTGGCAATACAGGGCATGCTTGTTTCAGATCTCATTTGTGATTCTAGTAGCGTTTTTTCTCCAGTAAATAAGATACTAGCTTTAAGACTAAGATATAAAAATACACATACGCACACAAACATACATCTACAGTAAACATACACAGTGCTATACATAAAGTATATACAGCACAGAATATGTACATGTACATACATATCTATATCTGAATAAAAGTATACATATATACATGTATTGTTGAACTATTCCACAGTTTCTGTTTTCTTAGTGTTTTATCATAAATAAGTGTTAAGTTTTGGCAAAAGACCTCTACACAACTTTGGAGATGACCGTATATTTTTCCTTAGATTTATTAATATTACATATATATAACTGAATTTCTAATATTGAACTGAATTTGCATTTCTGGAATGCAAGTTGGTCATGGAGTATTATTTTTTCATAGTGATGATGGATTCGAATGGCTAAGGTTATGCTTAAAATTATTGCACTGATATTTATAAAATATATTGGTCTGTACCTTCATTTCTTTGTACTGGCTTCATCTGGTTTAGGTATCAGTATAATATTTGCCTCATAAAGATAAGTTACAAAGGTTGTCTTCTCTTTTATTGCTCTAGAGTAATTTTAGACCATTGGGAATATTTGTGTTTTAAGATTTGGTATAAATCCTCTTTGAAACTCTATAGGTCTTGCTTTCTCATTTCTGTATAGTTTTCTCTCTTTCTTCCGTGGAAATTGGTCCGTGTAACTCCTCAACTCTCTAATTTTCCAGCAGCCTATCATCGAGCAATATATAAAATTAATTTGCATAAAAGTCATCAAAGTAGTATCATTTTTTGTAATGCCTTCATTTTCATTAGTTATTTCTGCTTTGTCATTTCTTATTTTGTACATTTGCTTTCCCTCCTTTTTTATGGATTAAATTCGGTAGTGGTCTATTTTGCTGTTTTTTTCAAATACAATGTTTAAATTCATGAATTAGATTTGCTGTTTTCCTGTTGCTTTTTTCATTTATTTGCATAATTATTTTTGTGACGTAGTTCCTTATGTTTTCTTCGGTTTAATATGTCACTCTTTTTACTATTTTTATGTGGTGGGAATTTAATCCCACTTTTAGTCTTTCCTTTTTTTTTTTTTTTTTTTTTTTTTTGTTGAGACGGAGTCTTCCCGTGTCGTCCAGGCTGGAGTGCAGTGGCAAGATCTCAGCTCACTGCAAGCTCCGCCTCTCGGGTTCACGTCATTCTCCTGACTCAGCCTCCTGAGTAGCTGGGACTACAGGCGCCTGCTACCACGCCCGGCTAATTTTTATACTCACGTTTAATTGCGTGTAGATTAAGGGGTTGTTTATGCAGAAATTTCTAGGGAAGGGGTAGTTTCTTCTGAGTCATTGGATCATTGTCATGGAAAGGGTAAGTATCTTCTAGGGTTTGCCATGGCAGTGATAAATTGGCATAGACACTGGTGGGTGTGTCTCATCGAAAGCTGCTTCTACTCCGACCCTGTTTTGGCTAGTCCTCAATTTGGTACCGTGTCTGAGCCCCACCTCCAGAGTTGAGTGCTGCCTCCTACCTCAATTCTATAGTACACATCGCAAAAACTTATTTGGCTGTGGCATGCTGTTTTCTAGTGGGAGAATAACTAGAGCTACTGTTTGAGTACCTGAGAAATGCACAGCACTCCAAAAAGTAACAGTAGATGGGATAAAACTTAGCGGTTCATGTTAAATTGCTGAAGAAGTCTTCCCTGATGATTCAGAAGGCACTTCAAAGTCTGACTGAATCCTCTGAGTATTTTGGGGTCAGTTTTATTGAAGTAAAATTTGCATTCATTAAAGTCACCATTTTTAGGCACACAGTTATATGAATTTTGACAAATATACACAATCATGTACCCATTATGACAACTGAGATATAAAAGTTTCAATCATACTAAAAATTATTTTCTCACTTTTTTGATATAAGTCATCTCTTTCCACCAGCAGTCCCAGACAACCATTGATCTGAGCTCTGTCCCTATAATTTGGCATGATTCAACATGTCGTATAAATAAGATTATACAGCATGTGGCCCCATGAGTCTGGCTTCTATGACTTGGCTGACTGTCTTTGAGATTTGTCCACGTTACTGCATGTCAATTGTTGGTTCTTTGTCATCCCTGAACTGCTGGATGTCCCACATATGTTTAACCTCTCACTGCATCATGGCTATTCGGTAGTATTCAGTTTTCGGCAATTTCAACTACGGCTGCTATAAACACTCAATGCAGGTCCTTTTGTGAACACAATTATTCATTTTTCTGAGGTATATACCTAAGACTGTGATTGCTAAGTCGTGCAGCAGATGTATTTTTAACTTTGTACGAAACTACCGAATTATTTTTCAAAATGACTGTACCATTTTGCACTCCTCCCAACAAAGTATGAGAGGTCTTACTGTACCACATCTTTCCAACACTCTGTATTTTTGCATTTTAATTGGAGTGTAGTAGTAGATTATTTTGGTTGTAATTTGCATTTCCCTAATGATGTTGAGCACCTTTTCATGTACTTCCTCTTTCTCTTCCTTAATGAATATCTATGTAAATGTGTTTGCCTATTTTTTAATAGGACGTTTTCTTATTGTTGAGTTGTGAAAGTGCTTTGTGCAATTGTCATATAGGCCTTTTATCAGCTATATGTTTTGCAAATACTTGCTCCAGTGTGCTGCTTATCTTCATTTTGTTAACAGTCTTTCAAAGAGTTAAAGGTTTAGTTTTGATAAAGTTAATTCCATCCTTTTTTCTTGTATGTTTCATGCATGTTATATCCTATCTGAAAGTTTGCCTAATCAGAAGTCACACAACCATTCTCTTTCGATTTCTTCAAGTTTTATAGATTATTATTGAGCTCCGTGGTCTATTTCATGTTAGTTTGGTCATATGGTCTGAGCTGTGGGCTAAGGATTGTTCACAGATAGCTGTCCAATCCTTGCACTTGCATTGGTTTTGAAGACTTTCTGTTCTTCATTGAATATTTTGGCACCTGTATCAAAAATCATTTAACCATATATTTGTGGGTCAATCCCTGTTTGGATTCTGTTCTGTTCCATTAATTGATACAAATATGCTTTCTCCAATACCACACTATTTTGATTATTGTCATGTGGCAATGCTTGAAGTCGAATAGTGTATGTCCTCCAATTTTATTCTTTTCAAAATTGTCTTGGCTAAACTAGATCCTTATCTTTTCAGTACACATTTTAGAATTAACTTCCTAATGTCTACTAAGAATTTAGAGTAGTTTTGATCAAGAGTGCACTGAATATATAGATAAGTCTGGGTAGAAGAGCTATCCTTACATAATTAAGTCTTCTGATTCCTAAATATGGTATATATGTCAATTTATTTAGATTTTTTATTTATCTCATTAAGTTTTCATAATTTTCAGCATGAAAATCTTGCAAATATTTTATTATATTTATCCGTAAGTATTTCATATATTTGATGCATATGATCATGGTCCTTTGTCATTTAAATTTCATTTATAATTCAGTGTTAGTATGAAGAAATACAATGAATTATGTATATATTAACCTTGTATCCTGTGTTCTTACTGTGCTCACATGTTAGTGATAGTTCTTTTTTTTTTTTTTTTTTTTTTTTTTACAGGCTTTTAAAAAAGTTTCTAGGCCAGGCACAGTAGCTCATGCCTGTAATCCCAGCACTTTGGGAGGCCCAGTGGGGTGGATCACTTGAGGTCAGGAGTTTGAGACCAGCCTGGGCAACATGGAGAAACCCCATCCCTACTAAAATACAAAAAATTAGACAGGAGTGCTGGCACACACCTGTAGTCCCAGCTACTCAGGAGGCTGAGGCAAAAATATTGCTTGAAGCAGAGGTTGCAGTGAGCTGACATCATGCCACTGCACTCCAGCCAGGGCGGCAGAGTGAGACTCCATCCAAAAAAAAAAAAAAAGTTTTTACACAGGCAATCATGTCAGCTGCAAATAAAAACAGGCTTATATATGTATATATAGAAATATATATACATATATAATCCTGTTTTACCATGTATATATATATCTTCCTTTCTAACCTTTACATGTTTGTTTCTTTCTCTATCTCATTTCATTGGTTAGGGCCATATCTTTTCCATGACCCTAGGACATAGGCATTCAGCTTTTTCTTCACATAAATATATATATATATATATATATATATATATATATATATATATATATATATATATACACACACACACACACACACACACACATACACACACACACACGTGTATATATATATGTATATATATACATGTGTATATATACACATGTATATATGTATATACATATACACAAGTGTATATGTATATATATATATACATGTGTATATATATATATATATATATATATATATACACATAGAGAGACAGCAAGATTATATATGTGTGTGTGTGTGTAATTATTTGATCATTTCTCTAGAGACCTTTTTAGGGTTGAGGAAGTTTTGAGTTTTATGAGAGTTTTTCATCAAGAACATGTGCTATATTTGGTCTAAAGCTTTTTCTGCATCTATTCAGACGGTCATGTGTGTTTTGTTCAGTGTGCTGATATGGTGAATTACACTGGCTGATGTTAACATTTTGAGCTACCCTGCTGCAACAGGACTTTTCTTCTTGTCTCTTCCCCAGAGTCTTAAATGTATTGTTCCTTAAATAGAAGGTCTGGGGACATGCACAGCCTTGCATTCCTACTCCCTATCACAGCTGCTGTTACCAGGGAAGAGAGTCTGCGGGTGATGTAGTAGATTAATAGATTGAGGTATTTTCCTCTCAGTTATGGTGGATGTCACATTCTTTGCAGCATTCATAAGGAAAAGAGACTTTATTTCTAAGCGTTTGAAGTGGTAAAACTCAGAAACACCTTTTAATTGATTTTCTCTTTAGGAAAAGTGCTTTAAAACCTGCAGTATTTTATCTGCAAATATTATGTTTGCTAAGGATCTTGGCTGAACTAGATCCTTATCTTCTCAATATACATTTTAGAATTAGCTTCCTAATGTCTACTAAGAATTTAGTGTAGTTTTGATCAAGATGGCACTGAGTATATAGATAAATCCAGGTAGAAGAGATAGTTTACTAATGACGTCTTATGATGACTGCTTTTCTGGCTTCAATAAAGCTTTTTATTTAATTGCCTTGCCCACTGTCCAGACCTGTTTACTTTTTAAATGGTGATATGGCTTGGTTGTGCCCCCACCCACATCTCATCTTGAATTGTATAATCCCCATGTGTCAAGGGCCAAGGCCAGGTGGAGATAATTGAATCATGGGGGGCAGTTTTCTCCATACTGTTCTCCTGGAAGTAAATGGGTCTCAAGAGATCTGATGGTTTTATAAATGGGAGTTCCCCTGCACAGACTCTCTTGCCTGCTGCCATGTAAAACATGACCTTGCTCCTCTTGTGTCTTCCACCACGTTTGTGAGGCCTCCCCAGCCATGTGGAACTGTGAGTCGATTAAACCTCTTTTCTTTATAGATTGCCCAGTCTCAGGTATGTCTTTATTAGCAGCATGAGAACAGACTAATGGAAAAGCTCTCTTTATTAATATTATTAAATACTCTTGAAACTCTAGTCTATACAGTCTGTGTTGACATAATTTGGACAGGGATGCTTCTCTGTAGACCTTGTGTGTTTAATATTTGTTTAATATTCTATTTCACACTGTAATGAACTTTCTGTTCCCTTGACGAATGCCTGTTTTGGCTAAGATTAGAATTGCATGCAGATAATTGAAGTTTCTTTTTGCTTGTCTCTCTTAACAGCTTTATTGAGCTATGACTGACATATAAAATTATATATATTTATGGCATACAGCTAGATATTTTGATATATGTTTGTCAAAAGACAAAACCATAACAAATTTAGCTTAAAGACCTATAGGTTTTATTTGTAGGTCTAGATCACAAATAAATGAATATAGCATAAGGTGGGCAATACCTTAATCTGCAAAATACAATTAGTATTTTGATGACTTAAGCAAAGAAACCTGGCTTTTTAGGCCGAAGGAAGCAGAAATAAGGGATAAAAAGATTAGTGGTTTCAAAGTTATTTTGCTATGGGAATAAAACAGAACTTTCTTATGCAGGCACAGGTAAATGGAGGTCCCTCCTAAGTAGTCGCTGTAAATCTCACTTGTTTGTTTGTTGGTTGGTTTTGAAAACTGGCCTGGTTCAAAGTTCAGACAAGTTTACTTGTCTGATACTTAATGCAAGTGACTCTACTGTGCTCTGTCTGATCTGTTGGGGCCTCATGAAGGAGTTCAGTCCCAAATAATGGCCTCCCATAATTTTTGTTTAACAGTGTATACTGTGAAATCATCATCTCATTCCAGATAATTAAAACTACCTATCACCTTTAATTATCATTTGTATGTGTGCAGGCGTGTGTGTGTATATGTGTAGTGAGAAGATTGAAGATTTTGCTCTGAGAAAATTGCAAGTGCATGATAGAGTAATGTTAACTGTTGTTCCTATGCTGTACATTAGATCTCTAAAACTTATTCTTCCTGCATAACTGAAACTGTATACTCTGATCAACCTCTGCCCCCAGGCTCTGGTAATTCCCACTGTACTCTCTACTCCCATGAGTTTGACTATTTTAGATTCCACATGTATGTGAGATCATACAGCATTTGTTTTTCTGTGTCTGGCTGGTTTCACTTAGTGTAATGTCTTTTAGATTTATTCATGTTGTCATAAATGAGAGAATATTCTGTTTTATATGATTGAATGATATTCTGCTGTGTATATTTACTGCATTTTATCCTTTCACCTGCTGAGGGGTTGTTTGCTGTGCATAAACATGTTAGTTTGATGTAATCCCATGTATCTATTTTGTTTCCATGTCTTAGCTATTGTCAATTACCCTGGAACGAACATGGGAGCATGGATGTCTTTTTGACATGCTGACTTCATTTCCTTTGGATGTGTACCCAGAAGTGGGATGGTAGATCATGTGGTAGTTCTATTTTTAGTTTTGGGAAGACCTTCCATACCCTTTTCCGCAGTTTCTGCACCAATGAACATCCCTACCAATATTTTACAAGGGTTCTCTTTTCTCCACATCCTCACCAACACTTGCCATCTTCTGAATGTTTTACAAGACCCTTTCTATCAGGTCTGAGTAGGTATCTCAGTGTGGTTTTAATTTGTATTTTCCTGGTGGTTAGAGATGTTGAGTAACGTATGATATACCTGTTGGTTGTTTGAAAACTTCTTTTATGAAGTTTCTATTTAGGCTTTTTGCCCATCTTTTAATCATATTTGTTTGTTTTCATATTGAGATGTATAAATTCCTTATGTATTTTGTATATTCTCTTATCAAGTACATGAAATACAAATATTTTCTCCCATTATATAGGATGTCTTTGCGATTGTTTCCTTTGCTACACAGAAGTATATCAGTTTGATGTAGTCCTACTTGCCTATTTTTGCTTTTCTTTTTTCTGCTTTTGGTATCACATTCCCCCCAAAAAATACTGCCAAGATCTATGTCAAGAAGGTTTTTCCCTGTCTTCTTCTAGGAGTTTTAAGCACTATAGTATTACATTTAAATCTCTAGTTAATTTTGAGTTGATTTTTGTCTTTGGTGTGAGATAAGGGTTTATTTCATTCTTCTGCATGTGGACGTCAAGTCATCTCTACACCATTATTCAAGGAGATGATCCTGCCCCCATTGTGTGTTCTTGGCAACTTCGTCAAAGAACAGTTGTCTGTTAATATGTGGTTTTATTTCTGGACTCTCTAATCTGTTCCAGTGTTCTGTATGTCTGTTTTTGTGCCAGTACCATGCTGTTTGGATTACTACAGCTTTGCAATAATCTGAAGTCCAGCTGGGGAACTTGATACCTCTAGCTTTGTTGTTCTTGCTCAAGATTGCTTAGGCTCATTGCAGTCATTTGTGGTTCTATGTAAGTTTTAGGCTGCTAGGGTCCAGCAGTTGTGGTGTCCTCAGTGACCATAAGGACAATTGAGGTCCTTGGAGGTAAAAAAAAAAAAAAAAAAAAAAAAAAAACACGCCAGGGTTCTCTGAAGAGCAGGTCACTGGAGACCAGGGAGGCTTCCTCCTGGTTAATCCTGGCAGCTTCACCCTTCTTTGTTCCTAGCAAGCTCCAGACATCTTGGCTGTGCCCATCTTCCATGCAATCTCGACAGGAAGAAACTAAAGCAGTTCTTTAGGGACAGCCCGACAGCCAGGGAAATGGTGGCCCCTCTGCTCTCCTGTGCGCCAGGAGGGGAGCTCGCAGGACCAGTGCAGTCCGTGGTACTGAGCTGGGTGGCGTGGAGCATGGGTTGAAGCAGGCAACACGAAGCTGTCATTCCCAGCCTCTGTGTGTCATTCTTAGATAATTTTGCCCCAGTACACTGCTGCATCTTCTCAACTGGACTTCCGAGCTCCTGGCAGAGCTGTTTTTCTTCGTGGATAGCTGTCTAACTATAATTTTTTTATCTGGGAGGAAGGCTGGGATCTCCTGCTCCACCACCTTGTTGATATGTCTGTTGGCTTCTTAAACAACATTTAATTCCTTTTTCCTCTTTTTGATGATCATTTTCTAAGTTAACATCTTTTCAGTTAAAAATTATCCTTTTTTTACTGAGTGAGAAAAAAGTAATATTTAAGCCTGTTAACATTTGTCTTTACCCGATACCTGCTGATATAATTGAGGACTTATTTTTTGAGACTATTTAAAAAATTTAAAATGTTATTTCTTCTTTGTGCTACACATTTTTTCATTACTAACTTTACTTTTAAATTGCTTCATTTAAGTTTTTCTCGTAAGTTGCATTTTTTATTGGTTGTTAGAAATGGGGGTTCTAGTCTTATTATCCTGTAGACATTGGTGCTGCTGTAATAGTTCTATAATTTAATATATCAGCTTAAGATGGTTGTGGATCACAGCTTCTTCAGTATAATCAATTAGTACCACTCCATTTCTATGTATCTAGGCAAAATATTTCTGAGGAGAGCAACATTTCCCTAACTAGATTCCTAAAATAAATTATATTTTTAATGCACATTGCTATGCAATGTACCTACCATGACTGCTTTAGCAATACTAGATAAATTATCTATCTGAAGAACTTGAGTATTACTTTTATCTGAGATTTGTGTAGAAGAATGGCTGAAGAAGAAAATATAAGCATTCAAGAAACCAGGGTTTAAAACAGAAAATGTTTCAGAATTGTAAAATCTCTCTCTTGAAATCAAAACAATTTTTAACATAGATATTTCTTTTTCTCTTCTTTTGCGTGAGTTAAGTGCTAATAAGAGAATAACAATGAAGTAGGAGAGCTGATGACAGAGGCAGATATTTCAGCAGTACATGCAATCAGAAACTTCGCTTAATAAGGCAACCACAAATCTATGTAATACAAAACTGCAGAAAGACCTTGAGACCACTCCAATGGCACCACCCAACATTGCTAAAAGTATGTTCAATTTTTCCACATTTTGTCACCTAAATTTCTACCAATGAATACTCTATGTGTATGTACACACACACTCATGAGAGAGGCATTTTGTGCTAATATATGAAAATGCACACATGCAGAGATACTTTGTGCTAATATATAGAAATATATACATAAATACACACCATAAATACTCTTTTTGTGCTTTTTTAATAAATTATTTATACCTTATTGAAAATAACCCTACCAGAAAGCAGTGAAGCAAGTCCTACAGGCAATGTGGTAACATGACATCCGAGGCATTTTCATTGAAAGGTGACAATGTCCCATGCTGCTTCAGTAAATAGTGCTGCCCTAAAGGATCTGAACTGTGAGATGCTATATAGACTCAACACTGAATCTAAATCCATAACACATTTCCACAGGTTAGTGGACACATTGCACTTGCGTAGATCCATTGTACATAGGAGAAATGCCATTTCTAGCTATAGATTTAGTTATATCAATGCAGATCATTAATATATTTTAATTATGCTATTTTCAAATTAAAAGCATATTTTGTAATTTTACACATGCTCCCACCTATAACATAAGCTGACGTTAACTTAACCATTTTTGTTAATTTGGAGTAATTTAAGGAATAATTATTTCTAGAGGAAAAGTATTTCTAAACCACTTATTTTATTATCACAACAATTTCCTTTTTTCCCCACTCAACCTGTCTACATACAAACACATATATATTCACTCATGGGTATCAGAAGGCTTATACACCTCCTTCCCTGACTCGGCAGTTCTTTGCAGGGTCGGTGTTCAGCGCCCTGGAGGTGGAACTGGAGTGGGCTGATGTGGTATCACTAGTTTGAAGGAAGGGGCGCTCCAAGGAGCGTGGACGCAGTAGAGCAGGGAGCTGAACTTTACGCTGGTGCAAGAGCATGCTGATATCATTAGGCTCGGGGCTTTAGTCTATCATTGGAACAGTTAAGAAACCAAAGAAATCATATGAAGCCATGAGAACACACTCGGTACATGGGCTACAAAGGATGTTAAGCGTCGGTGGCTCAGCATTACTAGGTGCTGTCTCCACAAGGAAGTGGGCAGGACTGGATAAAAAGTATAAAGCGGCAAGATAGCTATCTCTTTGAATGTGAAAATAAATAAGAAAATAGATACAAATTCTAATTTCTAATACATAGAGTTAATATTTATGTGTGGATTTTTTTTTTTTTTTTTTTTTTGGTCAGTATTCCCATGGAGTTCTCCTGACAATTGATAATACTATGTATCACCTTAAAGAGTTGACTCCTTGGCTGAGCCTAGTGGCTGATGCCTGGAATCCCAGTGCTTTGGGAGGCTGAGGTGGGAGAATCACTTGAACCCAGTAGTCTGAGACCACCCTGGGCAACATGGCCAGACCATATATCTGTCCTTGTTTAATTCCTTCGTGTCCTTACTTCCTTGTATTTATGCTCCTGTATAATCCCCTCTCCTAGATTGTGGGTTAGAGCTGTGCTTCTTTAGAACAAATAAAATACATCAAAGGTGATGGGTTGTTACTTCCATATTTGCTTTGCATAAGACTTTAAGTTCCATCTTGCTAGAGAACTATTCCTTGATGGCTTTGATATGTACACAGACACACATATATACATAATATATGTAATATAATATATATATTTTTGCATTATATATTACATAAAATAATTATAATTGCATATATATTTATAATTATATATAAATAATATATAATTTCTTATAAAAATACACATAATTTTACAAGAAAAAAAGTTGATTCCATGACAGATACACACACACATAATGCATACATATATATGATCTTTTTTTTACCATGTGACTTTTATTATCTTATTTTTAGCTATACTAAGAAGATGCTAGAAAAGTAGATGTAAAATATGTATAAGCCACTAACAAAAGAGACTTTCAATACATTTTGTTTTTCTAGGTCATAATAGAGATCAGTATGGGATGTGAGAGTGTGCTGAGGAGAACTACAGGCTTATATTTCTTTAGAAAGAGATAAGTGAGAATTGCCAAAATACATGTAAAACACATGAAAGAAAAAATGATTACTAAAGTAAATGACTTAACATGGAAAGAAATACTTGAAAAAGAAAACAATTGCATAAATATTGAGAATACAAAGATTATTCAGGTGAGCAAAGTGGAAAGGTAATGAAAAAGAGTTTCCAAAATGCTCTCAGATGATACATTTATATAAATGATATATGTATATGTGAGAAAAACAGCACCACTCTCTCCCATTTTTCTCAGCGCATTTCTGTGACATTTTTCCTTCTTCTACTTTAAATTGCTAGACTTGCACTGAAAAAGCCCATTGTGCGTTTAACCATTTAGCTCTTTCTTGCATGGTGGAGTTTGTATATGTGTGATGAGTATTGTGTATATATGGTTGCGTATTATATACGCATAGATGAACAACGGTCAAATAATTGTTTGATAATAAAAAGTCAAAGCTAAAACTATTAGTAGCAATTGTTTCTGTAATTATTCAATAAGCACTTTGGAATTGAAGGGATAAAAATATAATCTTTTTTTATTATTATAAGTTTTAGGGTACACGTGCCCAACGTGCAGGTTTGTTACATATGTATACATGTTGTGGGGTTGGGGGAGGGGGGAGGGATAGCACTGGGAGATATACCTAATACTAAATGAAAAATATAATCATTTCTTATCTTTATAATACATACCTGTTACAGTTTTAAGTGAATACCATTGATAGAAATGTAAAACTATACGATTATTCAGTGTACAACTTAAATGTATATTTTACAATGATTTTTTTAATGTGGAATTGTTTTTATTACCACTCTTTTATTAGCTAAACTTTACATTTAATCTGAAACTCACTGTATCCTAGTATATCATCTTGATTCTTGGTTCTTGGAGGTCATTTTTACATTACTCATCTTTTCTTTTTGTGGAAAACAGGCTGCACAATGATCCCCACTGTCCTTACTTGTATTTATGCTCCTGATAATCCCCTCTCGTAGATGATGGGTTAGAGCTGTGCTTCTTTAGAACAAAGAGAATACGTCAAAGGTGATGGGTTGTTACTTCCATAATTGCATTGCTTGAGACTTTAAGTTCCATCTTGCTAGAGGACTATCCCTTGATGGCTTTGATAAGGCACGTTGCTAGGCGGAGAAAGCCCATCTGATAGGGAATTCAGGGTACCCTCCAGCCAACAGCCAGCTAGAAAATGAATCCCTTGATCCAACACTGCAAGAGGAAATGACGTCCTCTAACAACCACTAAGGGAACCTAGAAGCAGGGACTTCCTCAAATCAACCCACAGATAAAAGACCCCAGCACTGACTGACACCGTAATTGCAGGTTCATGAGATCCTGGAGTGTGTGTGTGTGTGTCTTACCTGCATTGTGTGTGGAGGTATTTTATGTATAAGTGAATTTTGCTATTGCTGGCAGATACTCTCAATAATTAGCACAATGTGAAGTTTCCCTAGAAATTGATAAGAACTGAAAATAGTTAAAGCTAAATTTATAAGCATAACAATCGGAGATGAGGCTGCCAGATTAAGAGAAATTATAAAGGTTATTTTTTAAGACAAAAAAGAAATAACTTCTGACTTTATCATTCTGAGAGTAAATTGAGAATGAATCATATTGTATGACATTCTTATAGCTCAGAGCAGCAAGAATCAAGTCTGATCTTATATCTTCATGAACACAGCCAAACCAAAACATCATTTCTTCCAATGTTTTTACACTTATTTAAAAAATAGGTTTGTGTAAAAACATGTTACTTCTGTATCTCTTGGAAAAGCGTAGTCAAATGACTCTAATTGCTAGTTATTATGAAATAGCCAGATGGCAGGAAAAACATTTATCTCAGTCAGAGCCTACATACTAGGATCAACCACACAAGTCAATACCGAGAATTGAACCAAGGTCACTTGAACAGTTGAATCAGGGAAATGACAAGTTGAAACTTGTTGCTTAAGAGAATAGAGTTTCGTACTTTCCACTAGTGTCTCGCCTCTTTCTTCACACCTAACATGCTTGCAATCTGCAATGATATTTCTTCGTATTGCCTAATACAAAGATAGATGTTAGAGCAGAGAGCTGAGAACAGAAAGCTCAGTTGTCAATTAACAGCTCTTAGGCTCTCACTTATTGATTTTGTGCATTCACTTAAACCGTTTTGTGAAGATTCCAATTCCTAGTTTACCACATTGAGAATTCAGTAAATTAATTAACCCAGCTTTCAAAAGTGATAGCAGGAAAGTGTGTTCTTATTACAGGAACATGCCCAGGTGAGCACACAGAGTAGATCACTATAGAGAGACATTCAGAAGTCTTTAGGTGAAGAAACTGGCATTAGTAACGGGCTGTGGTTCCGTAGAAACTAATACACTCCACCATCATTCATCCTTCATTAAGAATGTCTTAAGAATGTGTTTGAGATTCAGATCAGATATCTGCTTGACCCTCATAATCTTTCTAACAACTGTTCCAAGAACTCGGAGGTAAATAATTTTTTTTTTCAGATCAGTTCTCTATAATAGTCTAGCTCTTACTGGCAGATTATTTAAAAATTTATTTTTTCTAAAACTGTATTCTCAGTGATGTGTTTATTTTCTCACGTAAGTATCAGAGGTGTGTGAACCAGAGCAACTCCATCTTAATTAGGAGCAGGGTAAAATGAGGCTGAAACCTACTAGGCTGCATTCCCAGACGGTTAAGGCATTCTAAGTCACAGAATGAGATAGGAGGTCAGCACAAAAATACAGGTCACAAAGACTTTGCTGATAAAACAGGTTGCAGTAAAGGAGTTGGCCAAAACCCACCAAAACCAAAATGGCCACAAGAGTGACCCCTGGTCGTCCTCACTGCTACACTCCCATCAGCGCCGTGGCAGTTTACAAATGCCAGGGCAATGTCAGGAAGTTACCCTGTATGGTCTAAAAAGGGGATGCATGAATAATCCACCCCTTGTTTAGCACATCATCAAGAAATAACCATGGAAATGGGCAACCAGCAGCCCATGGGGCTCTTCTGTCTATGGACTAGCCATTCTTTTATTTCTTTACTTTCTCAATAAACTTGCTTTTACTTTGCACTGTGAACTTGCCCTGAATTCTTTCTTGCACGAGATCCAAGAGCCCTCTCTTGGGACCTGGATCGGAACCACTGTCCTATAACATAAGCATAAAACTAAAACTACAAGTGAAGTAACTTTGAATGACGAGGAAAAAGACAGTCATTTTAAATGGTTGAACCAACAACACTGGCCAATATAAAGAATCTGACTACATTCTATTGTATTTTGAAGACTTATACTTTTTGCAAAGTGGAGAAGAAATTAATTTCATACTTGCAATCAAAACAGCTGGTAGATTTGCATTCTTTCTTGCTTGTGTGTGTGTATGTGTGTCTGAGTAGATTTGAGTAAATGTCCACCAAAGGTTAGAGCAGTAAGTAAGGCTGCTGAGAAGTGAAAAATGGAGCAGTCAGACAGGGTCATACTTGGTGTCCCATCAGGAATAGGAGGTTCCTCTGCTGGAAAGACAAGCTGCTGACAAAGCTACCAGAAGCACATGACGCCCTTGCAACATAACAATAAGCAGACTTGGCAACAAATAAGGAATCTCAAATAGGAAGAGGAGCAGACCTTCAATAATCACACAAGATGTGCAGAAATCCAAAACAATGAAGATAGGTTAACATTAACAAATAGTAGACAAGATACATGTATTTTTTGTGCATTTCAAAACAGTGTTCTGAGAAGGAATTTGTAGGTTTCAACACACAGGGAGGGTCTGTGGCCTAAAGAACACAAAATAGACCGGGCATGGTGGCTCACGCCTATAATCCCAGCACTTTGGGAGGCCAAGGTGGGTGGATCACTAGGTCAGGAGTTCAAGACCAGCCTGGCCAAGATGGTAAAACCCCATTCCTACTAAAAATACAAAAATTAGCCAGGTGCGGTGGCAGGTGCCTGTAATCCCAGCTACTCGGGAGGCTGAGGCAGAGAATTGCTTGAACCCGGGAGGTGGGTTCAAGAATACAAAATAATTTTGATAAATAGATTTACAAAAATAGGCAGTTAACCCAAAAAGTGGACTGTGAATGAAGAGGAAATATCACACAAATAAAGATTATTTGATAACTCTAACGTTTAAATTCTACAAATGGGACATTTGTAACAGTGACTATAAATGAATTAAATTTGCCTAATAACAAATTTACAGTTTAAATTTAAAATATCGCTATATACTATTTAGAAATGGCACAACTGTTTATAATAACATAGAGTGGAAAGAAAATTCTATTCAGGGAAATGCAAATTAAAGCAAATATTAGTATCAACCAAAGGGGAATTTAAAGTGAAAACCATTTATATCGATTAAGAAGAATATTGCTGAGTACTAATAGAACAATACATCAAGATCATGGGATGATTGGAAACAATATGCCACACATATTGTAGAGGACAATCTGGCCTAATTTAGTCAAATTAAGTATGTACGCATTCTATGACACAGCAACTTAACCTCACTCACTCGTGACTGCAGAGCTCAGAAGATCATTTCAAATGGGTTCAGATGTCAAGGTTTAAAGGGATGTTTATCCACACGTCATTCATGCTAATGGACAGTTAATTACTTTTTCTATCAGTGGGCGACTAGAAATTGAAAGTGAGAGATGAAAAGTATGAACGTCTAGGCAATAGTTACAATAAACATTTTATGTGTACATAGTGAAATATAACTAGATGCTAAAACCATGAAGCATCATGGAAGAAAAGGGACTAGCCTGACAACTATATTATCATGCCATTTACAGGAATTGAAAATGGGTGAACACCACACAATGCATGTTTTACAAGATCATATGTTTCATTTGCATCACATCACATACATATGCAACACTTTAGAGTTTTGCTTGACAGGACTGAGAAATGAGAGGAGGGAGTGGACATTAATTAACTCATTCATTCATCTATAGAGAAAGCTTCCACAGCTCCATTATAATAGCATTCAAAATTTTAAAATGTATGATAGGCTCAGCATCCTGCTCAAAAAGACAAAAAGAAAGCAGAATGAAGGGGTAGCCCGAGTTCCTCTTCTCCTATGGAAGAGTAAGTTACAGTAAACCATTTTAAAATCTATAAACAACCACAAAACAGAAATTTCTGAAGGGCACTAGAGAGTGAATAGAAGCAGGTAAATTTTACTCATTGATTTAGTTATTGGAAAAGGGTGGACAATAGTACAGACTTGGAGGAATTGACCTACATGAAATGGATTTTCTGGTTTTTTCCTCTTTCTTTGAGAGTATCCATAGTGACAGCATGGTCAGGAAACTGAAAATGCCAACTAGAGGAACTGGGAGAAGACCCAGGACAAATTTGTGATACAATAAATAGCTCACAAAGGTCGTATAAAAATAATTGTTACATCAAAAACGATCATTATGATAATTCTATCAGAGTCATGAAAACAATGAAATACGAATGCACACCTAATGGGACAAGTAAAGTGTGAAAGTCTATGTGTTTAGAAAGATGGAATAAAACCATATATTGTCATAAAAATATGTATACTTAAGTATTTGTAATGATATGGGAGGGAGGCAGGGAAGTACTGGGTAGAGAAGGGCGAGGTCCATGGCAGGGGCTCCACCCTCGGGCCTGTGCCCGTTGACCTAAATGGGGACAGGCATTTCTGTTTTCATGCCCAAAATTTGCCTTTTGGCTTGCCATGCTCCCCATCCTATGCCCATAAAAATCCAAGACCCTAGAGGGAACAGTCCCAAATGGCTGGACGTCGAAAGGAGAAGAACACACTGGCAGACACCAGCAGGCCATTGACAGCAGAATGACACAGATGCCAAGGGGAATTTGGCCAGGGGCAGTCAGAGGAGAGTTCAGCCACTGGATGGCCTGACTCCAGGGGAAGACCACCTTCTTATTCCATCCCCCTTCTCTCTCCCCATCCATCTTGCTAGGAGCCACCTCCAACACACAATAAAACCTTGCACTCAGCAGGACATGGTCGTTCACACCTGTTATCCCAGCACTTTGGGAGGCTGAGGCGGGAGGATCATGAGGTCAGGAGATAGAGACCATCCTGGCTAACATGACGAAACCCCATCTCTACTAAAATGCAAAAAATTAGCCTGGCATGCTGGTGCATTCCTGTAATCCCAGCTACTTGCGAGGCTGAGGGAGAATTGCTTGAACCCGGGAGAAAGAGGTTGCAGTAAGCCGAGATCGTGCCACTGCATTCCAACCTGGTGACAGAGCAAGACTCCATCTCCAAAAAAACAAACAAACAAGCAAACATGAGAAAAAAATCTTGTACTCATTCTCAAGCCCACATTTGATCCAATTATGTTTCTGGTACACAAGGGCCAGAACCCAGGATACAGAAAGCTCTCTATCCTTGTGATAAGGCGGAGGGTCTAATTGAGCCACCTGCAGATGGTGAAACTGAAAGAACACACTGTAACACACGCTGACTAGGGCTTCGGGAGCTGTAAACACCGAACCCTAGACACTGCCATGGGGTGGGAGCCACCAAAACGCTCCCACATCCTGCCCATCTGCATGCTCCCCATAGTGGTTTGAGCATCAGGGCACCGAAGAAGTGAAGCACATCCCTGTCACACACCCTGTGAGGGGAATAAGGGAGATTATCCTGTTTCAGCAATACCTTATTTACAATAGCCTCAACTTGGTAACTGCCTAAACATCCAGCAGCAGGTGAATTCATTAGCAAAATAGAGTACCACCGCAAAATACAAAGGAACTATGGATACATGCAAAAACATGAATGAATGTCAGAATCATTATGAAGAATAAGTAAAAAAGAGTACACACTATGTGGTTCCATTAATATGAAACCCTAGCAAACGAGATCTCATCTATGGTGACAAGTAAATCATTTGTCAAGGATTCAGAGCATACGATCAACTTCTACATGGAAGGAACAATCTTTCGGTGATTTAGAAAGGTTCTGATTTTTCATTGTGGTGGTTTCATGGTTATGTACGTTTGTCAAAACTCATTGCCTTGTGTACTTTAACTAGATTCAGTTCATTGTACATAAAGATGACTTTAAAACGTCATCTGAATAGATGTAAGACAGACTTGAAAGACACACAAGATTATAGAGAACTTCATGGTGAAAGATCTCAGCAAACTTCCTTCAGAAATGAATGATGCATATCAAAAATAAGACGTGTAGAAGAGGAATTATACATTTACCAAGATATAATCACTTTTATGTATACTTGAAATATACTAGGTCACAAAACTGCTCTCATTAAATTAGAATGAATTGATGAAACATAAACATGTTTTCTAACACAAAGTCACACAATTAGAAATGATTTAAATAGCACAAATCACAAGTCTTGAAACTTAAATGAAGTGACTTCTAATTAAATTAAGTATTAAAAATGTTAATGAAAATAGTGTATGTTTTGGAATTGAATGGTAATGAAAAGTGTAAGTATCAAACTATGGGACGCAGTTAAAATATGTCCCAGGAAATTAACAGATTAAATTTAAAAAGCAGGAAAGAAGGAGTGAATATTAATGACAAAAGTGTTAAGGAATTTAAAAATGAGACGTGTTTCAAAACAGATTGAGGGAAAGTAAAAATAAGAGAAATTGATCAAATAGAAAACAAGGAAATGATAGCAAAGACTAGTAATTGTAAAAGTCCCATAGTTCAAAAACTGAGAAAGAAGATACAAACAAATAACTACAAAAACTTGAAAAGGAAAAAGTAGAGGAAAAACATAAAGAAAAGGGGACACAAATTCAAAGAAAGTGGAGATGTAAAAAAAAAATTTTCAAAAATTTTGTATACTTTTTAAATAAAAAATGGAGAATTTTGTATAAAATTACCATAATTGATTGAAATGGAATTGGGTTATATTAACATAAAGATTTGAAATGGTAATTACATTAACCTTGTTTACTCCTCCACTCTCAGCTATAAAAAATATCAGGTACAGAGGGTTTTATATAAACATTTCACTAAAACTTCAATGAAAACTCAATCTTAATTTTTTCAAAGTGTTAATGGATCCCAAAATAATATGCTTTAATATAACAGGTATATATAAAATGCATTATGAAAAGTAAAATATCCTCTAAGTAATTTAATACATAAGATGTAATTCAAAAGATAACATTTTCAAGGTGAAAATCATATTCTTCCACATAGATATGGTAAATGTCCTTGGTAATATTAATCAGGAATTTATGAGTATATACACATATATGCATATCCATGTACTATATACATATATCTCCATATATATGTCTCCATATGCGTATATATACATAATATATATATGTACATTATACTTAAGTAGTTGCTTTTCTAATTTGCTTACTAAAAACCACAGGGAGCATAATATTTAATAGTGGATTTTTTTAGGTATTTTTATTAAAAACAAAAATAATGCAGGGCACATGATGTCACTATCCCTCATCAACACTGTATGGGAGAACCTAGCCAAAAGAATAATACACATATCCTCTCTCTCTCTCTCTCTCTCTGTCTCTCACCTGTATGCTTGGAATGACAGATTTGAAAGCCTATTTGTTCTCAGTTTGATTCTCTACATATTAAATTGAAAATAAATCTTTATAACTTACAAAAGCATTTGGTATGATGTTTAGATAAAAATCAAGATTAAGAAATTTGGTAACATTTTATATATCATATGTGACCAAATAAGTAAAATAGATGGAACTAAACACTTTCATTTACAGTTGTCGGGTCCATTCCACAGACCCTGGCCAAGTGATGGATGAAAGGAGTACTCAGACACAGGTATGCAGTGTTAGAGCAGCTAGGGGACTGCCCGTCACTAGTGGCCAAAGGGTGAACAGTCTCGAACAGCTGGAGCTGCTTGCTTTTATTCAGTACAGACACAATGCCAAAAGCCTGCAGCAAACATAATCTGTAGGTAATTAACATTATTGTCTCCCCCTTTCAAGGAGCAGTCTCGTGCTTGGATGATCAAAGGTTGGATTTTGTACAGTATAAGTAAACAAGCCTATTTAAGATAAATTCCCCTACACTTCCTTGTACCTACTCCTTGCCCTCTGCCTCACGGTCAGAGAACAGCTGCCTTCAGCTTATTCTCCCCTGAAGCTATGCAGAGCCTTCTGACCTTTCAGAAGGCCTGCTCCTTTCCCTGTAGTTTCTCCCACCACTCTGACCAATCTCCTATAGCTCCCTCTTTTCCGTTTTTTTTGCATCAGCTTTTGTTGATTGAAGAGTACAGACGTGTGCAGTGACAGGCTTGACAGGTGCAGTGGTTACAGCTCATGTTCTGACTTTGCATCGTAGAATTAGTAAATAACAGACAAACATGAGTATAAGTCAGTATTATTCTTTTCCAATCAAGGCGTGATATGTAGTGTTACTTGGCACCTCAGTCCAATGTATGCCATTACCGAAGGGCCCAACTGGGAGTATGTCAATCCCTCCTAGCCAAGCAGTCACATTGTTACAAGCTAGGAAGTGGGTGTCTGCCCAAGTAATAAGGCAGAAGTAATGTAGATCTAGAAGATGGGCCCTGTAGGAGGTACAGATAGTAGGCAAAGTGACAGAATAAAAAAGGTTAATACCCTATGAGAATTGCAATGTACGACAGAAAGCATGGCAAGGAACAAATTTTCTGGAGTGAATGGTGTCTGTCTGGAGTAGGATTCACTCAGCCTCTTGTGTTCTCTTCTTCGGCATCTCCCAAGTAATGTCTGGAGCCTGTGTCATCTCAGGAAGCCACATTGTCCAGGGTTGCAGGACCTACAGGGTCATTTTCTTCATTCCTGGTACTGAGTTGGGTCCTAGCTACACCATGGTAAGGTTTGTTGCCCCCTGCTGGAATCCAAAGAGGACGTGAGGGGATGTGAAAACAAGCATAACGTCTTCCCCATGTTAGCAAATCATTTGGACTACACAATATATTACTATTTACATCTTTCCATAAAACTGAAGGTTTTATATCTTGAGCAATATTTGCAAAGTGCTTTTCTATATCTGATTGAAATTTACCATCTAAATTTAAAAAATTAAGGGTACATAAGGCTTGTGCCAGTAGTGTTGCAGAGTCCTTACACACATTCCCCCTTTTTTGTTTTCTGAGCATATTTTTAAGGGTGGAGTGGTCATGTTCTACTATGGCCTGTCCCTGGGGGTTGTACAGGATACTCTTGGAATGTTGCACATTCCATGTGTGACAAAATTGTTGAAATTGTGAGCTGGCATAAGCCAGAACATTATCACTTTTAATTTTTGTGGGCCACCCCATAAACACAAAAGTTAAGATGTTTGATGACATATGGAGCAGACTCTGCAGGAAAAGCATGAGTGCTAATTAAGTAGGAATTTGTATCAACGGATACATGTAAATATCTTAGTTTTCCAAAATCAGGGGCATGTGTAACATTTGTTTGCCATAACTGATGAGGATCTAGTCCTCTAGGGTTAACACCTGTTGAAGGAGGGGATGTGCCTGTGAGCTGGCAATCTGAGCATTGCAGGATAATTTGTTCAGCCTTTTGGTTAACTGAAATTGTTTAGATAAGTTTCTCCAATTTTGGTGGATTGATGTGATTGGGTGACTTGGTCAAGCAGTGATGTCATAACCTGCAAGTTTGCGTGACCATTGCCATAAGCCAGTGGGCCAGGCAGTGAGCTGTGGTCTTGAATGTGTGTGATTAAAAACAAGATGTGTTCATAGATCCAGCAACTGCTGAAGTCAAAGAAAAAGTGCACATAGAGTGGGCGCAAGAATGGTCTTAATGAGGGCTGTCACAAGGTTCTGCAATAAATAAACACCATAAGCAGGGTCACTAACAATATGAATGGGCTGAGTGGAAAAGGTTTCCACGGCCAATATTACGGCTGCAACCTGAGCTCTCTGACTGCTAGTGAATCCAGATCAAGTAGGGGAGTTATGCGGTTCCCTAGCTAGCAAAAGCTAGCTGCTTTTGCATTTTTACAGAGCCATCAGTGAAAAGCATTAAAGCATTAGGTATGGGGGAGTGAACTACCTTTGTAGGCATAACTACAGGAGTATGAGATAAGAACTGAAGTAGTTTGTCAGCAGGAAGGGCATATTCTATATGGGCTGCATAATCAGTGCTGTCTGAAGATCCAGAGATAGGGGCATTCTGCTTCAAATTGCTTTTTACTCAACGGTATTCTTATGACATCAGGGTATTAACCTAGCAACTGATTGCATTGTCTGCAGCCTGTATAGATGACTTGACTTAAACTAGCAGGACATAGGGAGATAGTGTTTTAATCCCAATATGTGAGTAAAAAACCCATTTTAGAAAGCTCAGCCCTGAGGCTTTCTGTCCCATTAATCCTGTTAGGGAATGTTTAGTAGGAAATACAAATAACTGGACTGAATATCATGGGTCTATGTGATCTAGTTGCCTCTGAGAAATAGCTTGCTCTGTTTCTTCAATTTCCCTTTTTGCAGTGGGGGTTAAATACCTGGGGGAGTCCAGGGCTGCATTGCCCTTTAGGATAGAAAACAGGTTGTGTAATTTATCAGTAGTTATGCCCAAGGTGGGATGAAGCCAGTTAATATCAACCTGTAATTTTTGATAATTTAAGGTGTGAAAGTTGTCAGTGTTTAACCTTTTGAGGTCTTACTGATTGGGAAGTTAGTATGTATCCAAGATATTTCCAAGGAGAGGACAGCTGTACTTTTTCAGGTGCTATGATTAAACCTCTTAAGTGTGTATTCCTTTTGATAGAGGCATATAAATTCAAAAGTATCAGCTCCATTGGGGCTGCAAGTAAGATGTCATCCATTTAATGGATCATCTTTCAATTAGGAAATTTTCTACTGGGGATGGAAGCTGATTTACATGATACTGACACATGGTAGGACTGTTCAGCATTCCTTGAGGAAGTACTTCCCAATGAAATTGGCAAGGTGGCCTTTCATTATTAATAGTTGGTATTGTAAATGCAAATTTTTCTCTGTCCTGTTTTGCAAGGGGAATAATATAAAAGCAGTCTTTCAAGTCAATCATGACTGTTGGCCAATCTCAAGGAATTGCCGCAGGGGAAGGGAGTCCCTGTTAAAGGGGCCCCATAGGTTGCAAATTAGCACTGATAGCATGTAAGCCATGCAAATTCTCCATTTACCAGACTTTTTGGGAATGACGAAAATGGGCGAATTCCAAGGGCTATTTGATGGTTCTATATGGCTGGCTTTTCATTGCTCCTCAACTAATTCATGGGCTCACTGCAATTTCTCTCCCTTTATAGGCCACTGTTCTACCCAAATTGGATCTTGAGAGAGCCATGTCATGGGTAGGGGAAGAATCACAACAGTGGTCATTATTAGGAAGGGGTCTGCAGGGTGACCCCACATTGGGCTAATAGGTCCTATCCCTGAAGATTAACAGGGATGGGCATGATTAGAGATTGTGTATTAACATACGGACATCTGCCCTGGAGAATCACAGTTGTTATGTTTTGCCTGGCCAGTTGATTCTGGTTGGCCTATTGTCTACATGATTCATCAAATTCTGCCCTCCAGAGGAGGTTTTGACTGTCCTCTAAAGTTGTTTCGGCTAATACTGACCAGTCCCACAGGGTCATATGGAAGTTGTCTGCTATGGCCTCAATTAATACTTTCATAAATGGCCTACGAGCTCCATTTTCTCTAATGCTTTTTCTTATTTCTGTATAAGTGTTGAAAGTAATGGGTTCATGTACCGGATTGCCTTGTTGATCTTACATCACAGGGCAGGCCAAGGGCTCCTCTTCTAATGTTGCTTGCCTATGACAGGGTCCTATAACTGTATTGTATCCCTTGTCTTTTTTCCAATTTATTGGGGGAAGGGACTCAGGAAAAACCTCCATCTCCTCTTTGGTATCTTTACTCGGTAATGGTGGGGCTGAGAGAGGAGGAGGAGGTGGTGGTAAGATAGGTGATGGTTCTTCCTCCTCTCCTTTTCTAGGCTCTTCTGTGTAGAGTGGGGTCAAAGCAGCCATAACTAAGGCCCACAACATTAAAGATGTTACTAGGACCCATTGCCCTTGTGCATGATGTCAATTAAGATTTCTCCCCACTTGTTTCCAGAGCTCTAGGTCTAGCGTGCCTTCTTCTGGAAACTTTGGGTTATGAAAAACAACAGTTTGCATTAGGTTCCTTAATTGGGCCTCGGAATCCAAGGTGCTGCTAGCTTTAAGCAACTGTTTCAATACTTTTATACACTGTTGCTGTTGAGCTGATAACTGTTCTCCCATGATGAAACCCTAGCTTGAAAATTCCCTTGAACTTGGAAATCCTGAGCAGGCACCAACTACTTACTGTGCAGTCACTTCACCTTCATTTTCAAGGGCTCCGTCACAATCTGTTGTAGCATTCCTTACACACAGCACCAGCTGCCGGGTCCATCCCCCAGACCCTGGCAGAGCAATGGATGAAAGGAGTACTCAGACACAGGTATGTGGTGTAAGAGCAGCTAGGGGCCTGCCTGGCACTAGTGGGCAAAGAGTGAACAGTCTCAAACACCTGGAGCTGCTAGCTTTCATTCAGTACAGACATAATGCCAAAAGCTTGGAGCAAAAACAATCTGCAGGTAATTAACATTGCTCCCCCTTTCAGGGAGCAGTTGTGCACGTGGATGATGAAAGG